>NC_000023.11:34693553-34843910 GCF_000001405.40 Homo sapiens | reverse complement strand
AAACAATCGAATAGTGCCCATAATTAGTTCATAAGTTATACTGGCAAAGATCTAATGAACCAAGTAAAGATTTCTTGTATCAGTGTTTATTCTTGTGCAACAATCTCACTGAATTTACTTTGAGTAAATAGTGTTTTTTTTTTAAATGTAGCAACATATTTTAAAAGTCAATGAATATGGAAATCTTTCCACATGATTTTTATTTGTGGGAAGTCAGAGCCCGGATCAGCAACAATGAAATCAAAAGTGTCCTTAGGAAAGTAGTAAGCACAGGCTGAGATAATGCTGTCATTATAATATAGATAAGTCTATTAGCATAATTTTATCATGATTGTGAGATTTCCATTTTAACATTTAGAAAATGGTAAATATCTATATATGTAGGTATATGTATTCACAGATATATAAATTTACATATATTCATAAAATTGATTTACTTTATAGGTGAAAAACAAACCTGAAAACTGCCTTGGGACTGTAAACTATAGTGACAAAACAATTAGAATAGAAGTCACATTACTTTTCAAACAGGTTTATGTGGTTATTATTGGAATAAAGCCTTGTGTTAAAATTTCCACTGGACTGAGAATAAAGAAATGCAACAATTAGGAAATGACAAGTGAAAAACATTACATTCACAGGCATTAAGCCAGGGTTTAAAAAGTAGACATTACGGAAAAAAACATAAAAGAGAAAATTAAGGTGTCAATGCCTTTGACATCCATTTAGAACACTATTCATAGAAAAGTATAATTTTTTTTAGTGATTTAGGCTAGTCTTCCGTATGATGCCACAAAGTCAAATAACAGTATTTTCCTTTATATCATTGATGAAAAGTTTTAGGCAGCATTTCAATAACCTCGCTTCAACTAGTAGAAAATATAAGGTAGACTGTTACAGGTAGCAGAAAATAATGAATAGCATGGATGCCCCTCTAACCCTAGGAACAGGAAAATCCTAGACATAAAGTGTTATTTCACAAATTAGCTTTCTATAGAGAAAAGGATATCCCTAGTTTTCAGAAGCAGATACACAGGTCAAAACCACAGCGTTAACTGTGAAGCCTAAAGCCATGTTGCTTCAGGCTGGTATCAGGCCTGAAAATAGGCCTTGATAGTATGAGGTTTTGGTTATAATGCTCACAAAACGGAAAGAGGATTTAGCCTTGTGTCTGATACTGATTTCAGTTCCTTTGAATATATACCCAGAAGTGGGATGGCCGGATCATATGGGACTTTTATTTTAATTTTTTTAGCCTCCCTACTATTTTTCAAATTGGCTGTACTAAGCAGGGCCCTGCTGATACCTTGATTTTGTACATCCGACCACCAGAATTATGAGAGAATACATTCCTATTCCTTTAAAAAATAGAAACAAGTAAATTGAAGGGCCTTTCCTGAACGTGTGCTTGTAGAGAAAGAAAAATTTCCCCATGGATTTATTTTATTTTATTTTACTTTAAGTTCTGGGATACATGTGCTAAACATGAAGGTTTGCTACATGGGTATACATGTGCCATGGTGGTTTGCTACACTTATCAACATGTCATCTAGGTTTTACGCTCTGCGTGCATTAGGTATTTGTCCCAATGCCCTCCCTCCCCTTGCCCCCCAACCCCCGAACAGGCCCCGGTGTGTAATGTTCCCCTAACTGTGTCCATGTGTTCTCATTTTTCAGCTCCCACTTATGAGTGACAACATGTGGTGTTTGGTATTCTGTTCCTGTGTTAGTTTGCTGAGAATGATGGTTTTCAGCCTGATGCATGTCCCTGCAAAGGACATGAACTCATTCTTATTTATGGCTGCATAGTATTCCATGGTGTATATGTGCCACATTTTCTTTATCCAGTCTAAGATTGATGGGCATTTGGGTTGGTTCCAAGTCTTTGCTATTGTGAATAGTACTGCAATAAACATACATGTGCATGTGTCTTTATAGTAGGATGATTTATAATCCTTTGGGTATATACCCAGTAATGGGATTGCTGGGTCAAATGGTATTTCTGGTTCTATATCCTTATGGAATTGGCACACTGTCTTCCACAATGGTTAAACTAATTTACACTCCCCCCAACAGTGTAAAAGCATTCCTATTTCTCCACATCCTCTCCAGCATCTGTTGTTTCCAGACTTTTTAATAATGGCCATTCTGACTGGTGTGAGATAGTATCTTATTGTGGTTTTGATTTGCATTTCTCTAATGACCAGTGATGTTGAGCTTTTTTTCATGTTTGTTGGCCGCATAAATATCTTCTTTTGAGAACTGTCTGTTCATATCCTTCACCCACTTTTTGATGGGGTTGTTTGTTTTTTGTAAATTTGTTTATGTTTGTTGTAGATTCTGGATATTAGACCTTTGTCAGATGATAGATTGCAAAAATTTTCTCCCATTCTGTAGGTTACCTGTTCAATCTGATGATAGTTTCTTTTGCTGAGCAGAAGCCCTTTAGTTTAATTAGATCCCATTTGTCAATTTTGGCTATTGTTGAAATTGCTTTTGGTGGTTTATTCATGACTCAGCAATCCCATTACTGGGTATATACCCAAAGGAATGTAAATCATTCTACTATAAAGATACATGCATATGTATGTTTATTGCAGCACTATTTTTAATAGCAAAGACTTGGAACCAACCCAAATGCCCATCAATGATAGACTGGATAAAGAAAATGTGGCACATATACACCATAGAATACTATGCAGCAACAAAAAGAATGAGTTCATGTCCTTTGCAGGGACATGGATGAAGCTGGAGACCATCATCCCCAGCAAACTAACACAGGAACAGAAAACCTGAGGTCGGGAGTTCAAGACCAGCCTGACCAACATGGAGAAACCCCGTCTCTGCTAAAAATACAAAATTAGCCAGGCCTGGTGGTGCAGGCCTATAATCCCAGCGACTCGGGAGGCTGAAGCAAGATAATTGCTTGAACCTGGGAGGTAGAGGTTTCAGTGAGCTGAGATCATGCCATTGCAATTTAGCCTGGGCAACAAGAGTGAAACTCTGTCGCAAAAAAAAAAAAGTGTCATTGGATTGTTTGCACCTCAATGAACAAATGTTTGAGGTAATGGATACCTCATTCCTCATGATGTGCTTATTTCACATGGCATGCCTGTATGAAAATATCTCATGTATCCCATAAATATATCCACTTACTATGTACTTGCAATTTTTAAAAATTAAAACATATAATTTAGGCAGGGCATGATCGCTCATGCCTATAATCCCAGCACTTTGGGAGGCCGAGGCAGACGGATCACCTGAGGTCAGGGGTTTGAAACCAGCCTGGCCAACAGGGTGAAACCCCGTCTCTACTAAAAATACAAAATTAGCTGGGCGTGGTGGAGCACGCCTGTAATCCCAGCTACTTGGGAGGCTGAGGCAGGAGAATTGCTTGAACCCGGGCGGTGGAGGTTGCGGTGAGCCGAGATCACGCCATTGCACTCCAGCCTGGGCAACAAGAGTGAAACTCTGAAAAAAAAAAAAAAACCACATATAAATTAGTTTTTAAAAATGCAGTTTAACATGCACACAAAATAGGATTGCAAATGAAAACCTCAATGCGACACCATCTCACACCAGACAGACTGTCTATTTTTTAAACTTTTATTTTAGGTTCAGGGGTACAGGGCGAGGTTTGTTAGACAGGAAGACTAATGTCACAGCAGTTTGTTGTACAGATTATTTCACCACCCAGGTATTAATCCCAGTACTCATTAGTTATTTTTTCTGCTCCTGCATTAGTTTGCTAAGGATAATAGCCTCCAGCTCCATCTATGTTCCCACAAAAGAAAT
The DNA here is from genome assembly GCF_000001405.40 of Homo sapiens. Lineage (NCBI taxonomy): Eukaryota > Metazoa > Chordata > Mammalia > Primates > Hominidae > Homo > Homo sapiens. The sequence goes on along the minus strand of NC_000023.11, from coordinate 34,840,115 downwards.
GATCTCATTCTTTTTTATAGCTGCATTGTATTTCATGGTGTATACGTACCGCATTTTCTTTACCTAGTTTGTCATTGAAGGGCATTTAGATAGATTCCATGTCTTTGCTATTATGAATACTGCTGCAATGAACATTTGTATGTATCTTTCTTTATGGTAGAATGATGTATATTCCTCTGGGTATATATCCAGTGATGGGATTGCTGGGAAAAATGGTATTTCTGCTTTTAACTCTATGAGGAATCGTCATATGGCTTTCCACTATGGTTGAACCAATTTACACTTCCAACAACAGTGTGTAAGTGTTCCTTTTTTTATGCAACCTTACCACCATGTTATTTTTTGACTTTTAAATCACAGCCACAGAATGGCTTTTACTAAAATGTCAAAAAGTAACAGATGCTGGTGCGGTTGTGAAGGAAATAGAACACTTATGCACTGCTGGTAGGAATGTAAATTAGTTCAGACATTGAGGAAAATCGTTTGGCAATTTCTCAAAGAACTTAAAAAGGAATTACTGTTTGACTCAGCTATCCCATTATTGCATACACACGCAAAGGAATATAAATCATTCTACCATAAGGACACATGCATGCATATATTCATTGCAGCACTATTCACAACAGCAAAGACATGGAGTCAACCTAGATGCCCATCAATGGTAGACAGGATAAAGAAAATGTGACACATATATACCATGAAATACTACCCAGCCATATGATAGAATGATATCATGTCATTTGTAACAATATGGATGCAGCTGAAGGCCATTATCCTAAGCAAACTAACACAGGAAGAGAAAACCAAATACCACATGTTCTCACTTATATGTGGGAGCTAAATGTTGAGTATATATAGACACAAAGAAGGGAACAACAGACACCATGGACTACTTGAGGGTAGAGGATGGAATTATGGTGAGGATTGGAAAACTACCTATTGGGTTCTATGCTTATTAGGTGGGTAATGAAATAATCTGTACACCAAACCTCCGTGGCATGCAATTTACATATAAAACAAGCCTGAACATGTACCTCTGAACCAAAAATATAAGTTTGTAAATAAATAGTAATAGAAAATTTCCCAAACCTGGATAAATATTCAGATACAAGGAGGTTAAAGGCCACCAATCAGTTTCAACATAAATAAGAATACTCCAAGACATATTAAAATCAAATTTTCAAGGGTCAAATACAAAGAAAGGATCCTGAATGCAAATTGAGAGAAAATAAGTAAATAACTCATGTAGGAGATCCAATATGTCTGAGAGCAGACTTCTCAATAGAGAAACCTTACAGGCCGGTAGGGTGTGGCATGATGTAATCAGAGTGCTAAAGAAAAAAAATAGCTTCCAACCAAGAATACCGTACCCAGTACAATTCTCCTTCAGAAGTGAAGGAGAGAAATGCTAAAAGGGGTTCTTCAAACTGAAAGAAAAGGATGCTAAAATTATTGTTAATGTCATAATTGTGATTTGTAAAGCACTTATATCTTCAGTAAAAAGATTAAAAGATAAAACTATTACAAGTAATAACTATGATAATTTGTTAAGAGATAAGCAACATTAAAACACTATAAAATGAAAATAATTCAAAATATGGTGAGAAAAATTGAGTTAAATGTACTTTTTCTGTTTCTTTTTGTGATCAAAGTTAAATTGTTATCATTTTACAATAACTTATTATAACAAAAGGATAATTTTGTAAGCCCCACAGTAACCACAGAGCAAAAATCTATAGTAGATACACTTAAAATAAAATGTAAGGCACCTAAACACACTACTGGAAAAAGTCATTTCACTACAAAGGATTGCTTTAAGAGAGGAAGAAAGAAAGTATCAAAAAGACAACTAAAAATCAAGTAACAAAATGGTAGTAGTAAGCCCTTACCTATCAATAATTACCTTGAATATAAATGGATTAAATTCTCCTATTAAAAGCCATAGCGGCTGGGTGTGGTGGCTCACGCCTATAATCCAGGAACTCTGGGAGGCCAAGGCGGGTGGATCACAAGGTCAGGAGATCAAGACCATACTGGCTAACACAGTGAAACCCCGTCTCTACTAAAAATACAAAAATTAGCTGGGCATGGTGGCGGGCCCCTGTAGTCCCAGCTACTCGGGAGGCTGAGGCAGGAGAATGGTGTGAACCCGGGAGGCAGATCTGGCAGTGAGATCACGCAACTGCACTCCAGCCTGGGGCACTCCAGCCTGGGTGACAGAGCGAGATTCCATCTCCAAAAAAAAAAAAAAAAAAAAAAAGCCATAGCATGGCTACATTGACCTAACTATATACTGCTTACAAGAAAAATTCCTTCATCTGTAAGGACATGCATACACTGAAAGATGAAAAAGAGTATTTCAGGCCTAGTGTGGTGGCTCACACCTGTAATCCCAGCACTTTGGGAGGCCGAGGCGGGCAGATCACCTGAGATCAGGAGTTCAAGACCAGCCTGGCCAACATGATGAAACCTTGTCTCTACTAAAAATGCAAAACTTAGCCGGGTGTGATGGCAGGTGCCTGTAATTCCAGTTACTCGGGAGGCTAGGGTGGGAGAATCGCTTGAACCTGGGTGGCGGAGGTCACTTTGAGCCAAGATTGTGCCACAGCACTCCAGCTAGGGGACAGAGCAAGACTCCATCTCCAAAAAACAAAAATAAGAACAAACAAACAAACAGAAAAACATTTCATGCAAACGGAAACAAAAAAAGAGCAGGAATAGCAATACTAGTATCAGATAAAATAGACTTTTAAAGCCAAAAGCTGTAAAAATAGGCAAAGAAAGTTATTATATAGTGATATAGTTATCAACATAGCAAGAGAATTTACCAATTATATGTGCACCCAACACTGGAACAATAAATATTTATATACCAATATGCCAATATTAATAGAATTAAAGGAAGAATAGATTGCAATACATTAATAGCAAAATTCTATATTGCTCTTTCAGCAGTAAGGGAGATCATCCATACAGAAAATCAACAAGGAAACATCAGAGTCAATCACACTATAGACCAAATAAACTTAACAGATATTTACAAAACATTCCATCCAACAGCCACAGAATACACATTCTTCTCAACAGCACATGGAACATTCTCCAGAATAGATAATATGTTGAATCAAATAATAAGTGCTAAGAATTTAAAAAAATAAAATCATATCAATTATGCTTTCTAAAGACAATGAAATAAAACTAGAAATCTATAAGAGGAGGAACTTTGAAAAATATGCAAAAACATGGAAATTAAACCACATGCCCCTGAACTACCAGTGTGTCAATGAAAAACGAAAACTGGAAACACAACATACTAAAATGTATGATAAACAGCAAAAGCTGTTCTAAGAGGGAAGTTTATGGCAGTAAACACCTACATAATAAAAATAGAAAGATCTCAAATAAACAATCTATAATTGCACCTCATGTAAATAAAAGAAACAAGAACAAACCAAACCTCAAATTAGTAGTAAGCAATAATATATATCAGAGCAGAAATAAACAAAATAGAGACTAAAAGTTTAATACAAAAGATCAACGAAATGAAGAGTTGTTTTTTGAAAAAGTAAACGAAACCGACAAACCTATAGCTCAGCTAAGAATAAGAGACTGCTCAAATAAGTAAAATCAGAGATGAAAAGGAGACATCACAACTGATACCACAGAAATACAAAGGATCATTAAAGGTATTATTAACAAATAATTATCCTTAAGAATAACTATATGTCAACAAATTGGAAAATCTACAAGAAATTGATAAATTCATAGTTACATAAAGCCTACCAAGATTTTCATGAAGAAACAGAAAACACATAGTCCAATGGAAAAGAATAGAAAACTTATTGTATTAACAATTATAATTATAAATTAACACCTTTACAACCAATTAATTTTCAACAAAGGTGCCAAGAACCCACATTGGGAAGAGGATAGTCTAGTCAAATCATGATTTTAGGAAAATTGGATATCCATATGCAGAAGAATGAAATTAGATCCTTATTTTTCACCACTTACAAAAATCAACTCAAAATGGATAGGAGACTTACATTTAAGACCCAAACAATGAAACTACAGCAGGTCGTTTAATAATGTCATTTCTTTCAACATTGTTTACTCATAGCATAGATGAGAAAAAAAAAATCCATTCCTCGCTGGGGCCAGTGTCTGTGAGTTTTTTCCCAGATACTTCAGTTTCCTCTTACATCCCAAATATGTGCACATTTGTTTAACTAGTGTATCTAAATTGCCCCAGTATGAGTTAGTGTGGGTGTGTGCATGAGAGCACACAGCAATGGAAAGGTGTTCTGTCCAGGTTTGGTTCTCGTCTTGCAACCTGAATTGAAGGATAGGCCCTGGGCTACCTGCAACTCTGAACTGGAATACTTGGTAAAATAATTATCCTACTTGTTTTCATTAGTCTTTCTTAAGTGTTATGTATAGCTCACATTTATTTTGATATTTAATATTATAATAAGTATTTTGGTGACTATTTAGAAGTTTGATAATGCTTATAGAAACAAAAATATGCCATAGGAATTTAACTCTTGCTTATATACATTAGCATATGGTAAAATTGGTTTCATTAAATGTCATTTCACTTAAAGTCACAGTTTCCAAGAACCTATCAATGATGTTAAGTGAGGACTTACTATACAAAAAAAACACATAGAAGAAACGCTTCATGATATTGGTCTGGGCAAGGAATTTTTTGGATACTACCAAAAAAGCACAAACACCAAAAGCAAGAATAGACAAGTGGAACTATGTCAAAGTAGAAGGCTTCTGCACAGCAAAGTAAACAATTAACAGAGTGAAGAGACAACCCACAGAGTGGGAGAAAAATATTTAAAAACTATACATCTGACAAGGGGGTAATATCCAGAATATATAAGAAACTCAAACTCAATAGCAAAAAGAAAGGTCTGAGTAGACATTTCTCAAAAGAAGACATGCAAATGGCCAACAAGTCTATGAAAAAAATGCTAACATCACTAATCGTGAGGGAAATGCTATTCAAAACTATAATGAGATATGATCTCACCCTAGTCAGAACGGCTATTATCAAAAACCAAAAAAAAAAAAAAAAAAAAAGGAGATGCTGGGGATGTGGAGAAAAGGGGAACACTTATACACTGTTAGTGATAATGTAAATTTGTACAACCTCCATGGCCAACACTATAAAGTTTCCTTAAAATGTTAGAAACAGAACTATCATATGATCCAACAATCCCACTACTGGGTATATATCCAAAGGAAATAAAGTCAGTATATTGAAGAGATAACTGCACTTCCACATTTATTGCAGCAGTATTCACAGTAGGCCTTACATTGAATCAACTTCTATCCATCAACAGATGAATAGATTAAAATGTGGTGTGTGTATAAATATAAATATATATATGTTACGTGTGTATATATGTGTATATACACACATATATATACAGACACACACACAATGTATTTATTCTGGTCTTTTATATATATATATATATATATATATATATATATATATTTATTCTGGTCTAATCTGCACTGGCATTTCAGCCTTCTCTTGATGAGGTCCTTACCCTTTAGTCACTGTGTACTTGTAAGTAGTGGAGTTGTTTAGACTTCTTTTTAAAAAACATATTACCTGATTCATATATTTACTGTGACAAAATTAAAATACCTTTCAATGTTGTGGACACATATAATTTAAAGTGATAATACACAAATCAGAAGAGAACATCATTAGGTCAAAAAACAAGGTAAGTTTTTTTTTTCTTTTTTTTTTTTTTTTTGAAACAAGATCTTACTTTGTCACCCAGGTTGGAGTGCAGGGGTGTGATCTCGGCTCACTGCAGCCTCGACCTCTGGGGTTCAAGCGATCTTCCTGCCTCAGCCTCTCGAGTAGCTGGGACTACAGGCATGCACCACCGTGCCTGGCTAATTTTTGTATTTTTTGGAGGAATGGGGTTTCACCATGTTGCCCAGGCTGGTCTTGAACTCCCGAGCTCAAGCGATCCACCCACCTTGGCCTCCTAAAGTGCTAGAATTACAGGCGTGAGCCACTGCGCAGGTCCTGCAAGATAAGTTCTTAAGCCTGCTTTCTGTTTATGAAATTATTCTGCCTCTCAACACTGATATGATGGTAGTAATTTTATAAGCCTGGTTGAATCTGAATATGAAAGAAATTTCCATTACTTTTCCTTTAGTTCCAGAGTACAGTGCATAAATTGGATATATTCACTTGTCAAAAGATACCACTTCCGATTTCCAGCTCTTTTCTCATTTCTATCCTAAAAGTCATTCTCTGTGCGTGATACCATGGCAAGACTGCTAGTGTACAGCCTCAAACATCCACAGAGGTATATGATTTTAAACTTGACATAGCAAGAAGTTTTGCTGGCACAGAAAGCATTTCCCAAAACTGCAAGACTTCCATAAATAGCATCATTTAAATATCTTTTTAATAAATGTCAATATCTGGCACTCTAGATAATATTTTCAACTACTGTTATTTCCCTAGTCCCAGCAACAAATTACAGAAAGGCAATAAAACCAATAAAAATCCACTGAATTCACTTATCCAGCTTGAACAAATTCTCAAGACAATAAAAGATTTTCAGATGTATTTTGAAATGCCAAACGGTTTTGCAAGACTTTTAAAAAGTTCAAACAGAACAGAGGAAGATGGAGTAAAAACATAAAATCACCGTTTGCTCTTCATAGTAACAAATCTTAGCATTTCAGTCAAAATGTTTTCTGTAGCAAACAATCTTGTGTTGAACATCATTTTAAAAACCTACACATCACCAAGCACACTGCTAGTGATTTTTAAGGTATTTATTCAGAACTGGAATTACTGGATCAATGTACACACATTTAAAACTTCAAGAAATGCTGGCGGGGCGCACTGGCTCATGCCTGTAATCCTAGCACTTTGGGAGGTTGAGGTGGGTGGATCACCTGAGGTCAGGAGTTCGAGACCAGCCAGGCCAACATGGAGAAACCTCGTCTCTGCTAAAAATATAAAAATTAGCCAGGCATGGTGGTGCTCGCCCGTAATCTCAGCTACTCGGGAGGCTGAGGCATGAGAATTGCTTGAACCCAGGAGGCGGAGGTTGTGGTGAGTCTAGATTGCTGCACTGCACTCTAGCCTGGGTGACAGTGAAACTCCATCTCAAAAAAATTAATATATAAAAAATAAAAATAAAACGTCAGGAAATTTTACCAACGTCCCAACAGAAGCTATACCAACATTTACTCAAATCAACAATCTATGAGAGTCAGTATGTCCTTGTTACCTTGGCCACACAGTCAACTTTAAAAACTCATTACTGTGTGACAGGCGAATATGAATCTTCATTTCTGGTTTTACCTCTATTCCTCAACATCTTTCCAGAGAAGTATTGGCCCTTTGAGAACTTCTGCTAATCTCTTACTGATAATATTCGTTTTCGCATATATTCATGAGGTGTAAGTAACTTTTATTACTTGCATAGTTTGTATAGTGCTCATATCAGGGCTTCAGAGTCTTCATCAACCAAATAATGTACATTGTAACTATGAAGTAATTTATCATCATCAACCTTCCTCTCATCTCCTCACCCTTCCTAGTCTCCATTGTCTATGATCTCACCCTCTACGTCCACGTGTACACTTTTTTTAGCACTCGCTTATGAATGAGAATATGATATTTGACTTCTGTGTCTGACTTTTTTCACTTAAGATAATGACCTCCAGTTCAATTCGTGTTGCTACAGAAGACATGATTTCATTCTTTTTATGGCTGAATAGTTTTCCATTTTGTATATATACCACCTTTTACTTACCCAATCATCCATTGATGGATACTTAGATTGATCTTTTCTATTATGAATAGTGCTGTGATAAACACACAAATGCAGGGGTTTTTTAAATTAATAGTTAAATTGGTTTCTGTTCCTTTGAATATGATATTCAGTAGTGGGATTGCTGGATTGAATGGTAGTTCTACTTTAATTCTTTGAGAAATCTCCACACTATTTCCACAGAGGTTTTACTAACTTACATTCCCACCGACATTGCAAAAGTGTTCCCTTTTCTCTGAATACTTGCCAACATCTGTTATTTTCTGCCTTTTTAATAATACCCATTCTGACTGAGGTAAGATGCTATCTCACTGTGGTTTTAATTTGCATTTCTCTGATGATTAGTAATATTGAGCACTTTTTCATATATCTGTTGGCCATTTGTATGTCTTCTTTTGAAAAATGTCTATTCATGTCCTTTGCCCAGTTTTTAATGAGGTTGTTGTTGTTGTTGTTGTTGAGGTGTTAGAGTTCCTTTTATATTCTGGATATTGTCCTCTGTTGGGTAAATAGTTTGATTTGCACATATTTTTCCCCTCTGCAGGTTGTCTGTTCTGTCTGTTGATGTTTATTTTTGCTATGGAGAAGCTTTTTAGTTTAATTAAGACCCATTTGTCTATTTTTGTTTATGTTGCTTGTGTATTTGAGGTCTTTGTAATAAGTTATTTGCCTAGATCAATGTCCGGAAGAGTCTTCTTACAGGATTTTTATAGTTTTGAGTCTTACATTTAAGTCTTTAAACCATCTTGAGCTGATTTTTCTATATGGTGTAAGATAGGGGTCCAGTTTCATTCTTCTGCATATGGTAATCTGATTTTCCCAGCACAATTTATTGAAAAAAAAAGTCCTTTTCTCAATGTATGTTCTTGTCAGCTATGTTAAAGATCAGTTAGCTATAAATATATGGCTTTATTTCTGGGTTTTTTATTCTGTTCCATTGATCTATGTGTCTACTTTTATACCACTACCATGCTGCTTTGGTTACTATAGTCTTGTAATATACTTTGAAGTCAGGTAATGTGCTGCCTCCAACTTTGTTCTTTTTGCTTAGGATTACTTTTGCTATTTGGGCTCTTTTTTGGTTTCATAATTTTCAGGTTATTTTTTCCATTTCTCTGAAAAATGACTTTGATATTCTGATAGAGATTGCATTGAATCTGTAGATTGCTTTGGGTGGTATGGTCATTCTAATGATATTTGTTCTTCTGATCCATGATCATGGGATGTTTTTCATCCCATGATGAAAACATCATGTTTTCATATACATTGTTTAAGTCATATACAATTTCTTTCATCTGTGTTTTGTAGTTTTCCTCATTCATCTCCTTTGTTAAATTTATTCCTAGGTATTTTATTTTATTTTATTTTATTTCTGCTAATGCACATGAAATTGCCTTCTTGATTTCATCCTCAGCTAGATGATTATTTGTGTATAAAACACTACTGATTTTTGTACATTGATTTTGTAGTCTGCAACTTTACTAAATTCATTTATCAAATCTAAGAGTTTCTGCTGGAGGCTATTGGTTTTTCTACATATAAGATTATGTCATCTCAAACAGGGACATTTGACTTCCTCCTTCTCAATTTGGATGCCTTTTCTTTCTTTCTCTTCCCTGATTGCTCTGGCTATGACTACCAGTACTATATCGAATAGGAGTGGTGAAAGTAGACATCTTTATCTTGTTCTAGTTCTTAGAGGAAACACTTTAAACTTTTTCTCATTTAGTATGATGTTGGCCCTGAGTTGGTCATATTTGGCCTTTATTATTTTGAGATATGTTCCTTCTATGCCCAGTTTGTTAATGGTTTTCATCATGAATGATCATATATTTCAACCAATTTTCTATTGTCTTTCCTTTGGAATTAAATTTAATTGCTTTGTTTTCCCTAGTGTAACTAAATAATTTCTCAATATATTATGACTATCCTTTGCCAAATGTGTTGCAGTTATTTTCTTCCACTTTAGAAGTAATTATTAACTTGGTGTTTGTTTTCATCAGACAAAAATAGTTCCTTTTTATATTGTCAAATTTATTTTTTTGTTTTCTTTACGTCTTTGAGATTTGGAGTATCACTTAAATTGAATCTACAGATGGTGAAAACATTCTCCTGTATTTTCATCTAATCATAATAAAAATTTATTTAAGCCTAAAATCTACCTAAATATACTCTTGTATATAAAGTGAGGTAGATAATTAGCATTTGTTTTATAAGTGGATGGCCAAATTGTCACACCACCATTGAATAGCTCTTTCTTTGCCCACTAATAGAAAATAGCACTTTAACCATGTATTAAAATGTATATATATGTGTATATATATAATGCATATATAACATGTATATATAATGTATATATAAAGTATATATAATGTATATATAATATATATAATATTTGTATCTGAATTTTTTACTGTGTTTCATTGGTTTATTTTGTACATTTAGTACAATTACACTGTTTTAATGATAGTTCTTTTTAATATTGTTTTATACGTCATATGAAAACCTTCATTCTTTTTCATTTAAAAATTTTTGTGGGGTTAAAATCATACAATCTTTCTTCAAGATATTTTTAAAAACCTTCCAGGTTGTATGAAATACTGTTTTACTAAAATTAGAGTTGATATAAACTGATATAAGGAGATTTGACAAATTATATCATATTGAGTCTTCTCATTTTTCCTTCATTTCCATACCTTTTGATTAAGAATCATTATGTTTGCAGACGTTTAAGCCAAGGGGCTTGAATTTTGCTATGCTCCTAATAGTGGGATAAGCCCACTTTCAACAGGTCTCCCAGATAGAACTTTATATTCTTCCTTTCCACTCAACATTGACGTTTTCTCCATATGACTATAGAGATCTTTCACAGCATTTGGTCAATTTATTCTTACTATATATCATAGTTATTACTTAATCCAAAGTTACATTTTAATATAATTATTGTGACTGGTATGTACAGAAAGATGATCTGTATATTTAGCTTGTAGTACAGGCATCTAATACATTTTCATAAGCATTGAAACTGCTTTTTAAAATTCTTTTAAATACAAAATCATGTAATCTGAAAAATGTGATAGTTTTTTCTCTTCCGTTCTAACATGTATGCTCCTTTATTTTCCTTATTTTATTTTATTTTCATGGATTGTCTATGTAATATTTAGTAATAGAAGCTTTCTTTTCTTCCTAATTTTTATTGTGAAGCATTTGCTAATGTTGAAAAATATGATTGTATTACTTAATGTAGTTTTCTGGTAGATTTAATTGATCAAATTAATAGTTTCTTTTATTCTCAATTTATCCTAACTTTTTTGAAATCTAGAAATAGGAAATTTTTCAGTGTTTTTTCAGAATTTATTTTCCCCTCTTTTAGTTTCAAAATGTAATAATGTACATTGATGGATTTCTCAATATTTAGCCAATCTGTATTCTAAGAATAATTTTTATTTTAATAGAGAGAAGATTCAGTGTGTTCATATTTTATATGGAATATTTGCCTTTATTCTTATTGTCTAACTCATGTATAGGTTTGAGTGTATTTGTATTTATGTGTGTTTTGTGTGTGTACTCTGTCTTTATCAATTTGTTTTTTCAGTCAAAGAATGAATGCATAAAATGTCAGTCTCTTTTGCTATGCTCTGGAAATAATTTATATGTCACCTTCATTAAAGAATTAGTAAGACTTACCTATAAACACTGTCTGGGTTTGATGCCCATTTAGGGTATATATATATATATATATATATATACACACACACACATATATATACACACATATATATATACACACATATATACATATACATATATATATATACTGGAGACAGAGTTTCACTCTTGTTGCACAGGCTGGAGTGCAATGGCACATCTCGGCTCACCGCAACCTCTGTCTCCTGGGTTCAAGCAATTCTCCTGCCTCAGCCTCCCGAGTAGATGGGATTACAGGCATGCACCAGCATGCCTTGCTAATTTTGTATTTTTAGTGGACACGAGGTTTCTCCATGTTGGTCAGGCTGGTCTGGAACTCCTGACCTCAGATGATCCGCCCGTCTCGGCCTCCCAAAGTGCTGGGATTACAGGCGTGAGCCACTGCGCCCGGCCTAGGGTAGAGATTTTATCAGCTTTTTATTTATTGCCTAGTTGCTGCTTCTTTTCCCCAGCTTTATTGAGGTAAAATAGATAATAAAAATGTTATATATTCAAGGCATACAACATAATGATTTGATATACACATACATTTTGAAATGATTACCACAATGATTATGCTTACTACATCCATCACTTCACATGATTATCATTTTCTGTGTGTGTGTGTGTGTGTGTGTGTGCGCTGAGGGTACATAAGATGTGCTGTGGATTCATAAGATCTACTGTCTAAGCAAATGTCCAGTTTTATTAACTTGAAATTTAATTCAAGTTAATTCAATTCTTTATTATTAACTATAGTTACCATGTTGTACATTAGATCCCCAGAACTTATTCATCTTATAACTGAAAGTTTGTAGGGATCCTTTGACCAACATCTTCCCATTTCTCCTATCTTCCAGCCCATGGCAACCACCACTACAGTTTCTGCTTCTATGAGGGTTACTCTTTTAGATTCCACATAAGTGATATCATATAGTATTTGTCTTTCTGTATCTTGCTTATTTCACATAACATAATGTCCTCCAGGTTCATTCACATGGTCACAAATGGCAGGATTTTCTTCCTTGTCTTCTTTCCATTGTGTATGTGTGAGTGTGTGTATGTGTTACATTTTCTTTACCCATTCATCTATCAATTGACACTTGGAGTTTTTCATATATTAGTTATTGTGAATAATGCTCCAGTGAACACAGAGATGCAAATATCTCTTTGAAATATTGAATTCATATCCTTTAGATATATATTCAGAATTGGGATTGCTGGGTTGTGTGGTGGTTACTTTTAATTTTTTTTTTAGAACCCTCCATACTGTTTTCCTTAATGTGTGTACCAATTTACATTCTCACCAACAGTGTACAAAGGGTTCCCTTTTCTCCACACCCTGACCAACACTTGCTATCTCTTGTCTTTTTGATAATAGCCATTCTAAAAGGTGTGAGGTATCTCATTGTCGTGTTGACTTGAATTTCTCTGATAAATAGTGACGTCACATGCCTTTTCACATTCCTATTGCCCACGTGTTGAATGTCTTCTTTGGAAAAAGGTCTATTGAGGTCCTTTGCACTAAAAACATTAAATATCTAAAATATATCCAAAACACTAAAATATTTTAGTATATATTAGAAGTTTGCACATTTTTAACTGGGTTACATGTTGTTTGATTTTTGCTATTGAATTGCATGAGTCTATTACAGATTTTGAATATTAACCCCTTAGCAGATATACAGTTTGCAGATATTTTCTCCTATTCCATAACTTGCCTTTTGTTTTGTTGTTTACTTTGAATCAAACTTTTTAGTTTGATGTAGTCTCATTTGTTTATTTTACCTTTTGTTGTCTGTGCTTTTGGTGCTATATCCAAAACAGAATTGCCCAGACCAATGTCAAGAAATTTTTGTGTGTGTGTTTTCTTCAAGGAATTTTATGGCTTCAGGTCTTGCCATCTTTAAGTCTTAAAGTTTTTAAGCCTGGTTTCTTATATATTCATGTTTTCTATAATTTTGACCTATATTTGAGTGATTTATATTATTTCAGAATAAAATATTTTTCCCTAAATTTTCACATGCTTTGATATGATAAAGGTAAATATTTTTAAAAAATTTTTATAGTATCTTCCATACATTTGGCTGTCATTTATCATTCTACGCATGTGCTCACTCTTTTTATGTCTTTATCACACACATTTTTCTCTGTTCATTCCTGATCTCAAAATAAACATAATAAAACTATTTTATTGATCTTTTCAAAAAGCAACATTTGGTTTCTTCATCCATTTTTAATAATTCGTTTATTTATATTTCTACTATCTTACTTTTCTTCTTTTTAATTCTAATTTATATATTTTTATATATTTGAAAAATATTTTAACGTTAGAAGTTATACATAAAAAATACTTGTGCTTGAGGCTGTAAATTTTTTTCATGAATTCCTATTTGACCTCCTTCCAAAATTTTGAAATGAGGTACACTTTTACTCATTTCTGTATTAATTTCTATTATAGACTTAATCGTATTTATATTATCAATGCTTTATTATTATTAAACTTCATAAAAAGTAGTTTGGAATTAAAATCTATCTTGTTGCATTTTTCATTTTCATTGCATTAGATTGGGTGAATGTAACTTATAGAGGTTTTTCCTTTCTTCCCTTTTTAAAATAATTTTTAAATATTGTTTTGAGTTATTGTACATAATTTTTCCAAGCATGTTTGAAAACTATTTATTCTGTGTACTCACCCTTTTGACTTATGTTATTTACATCTTCCATATCATTATTTATTTTTGGTCTACTTGGTCCATCAATTTTAATGAATATCCTACTAAGATGGCAAGTTGGTTAATTTTTTCTTACAATAATTATTCATATTTTACCTAAAGTTTTGTTAAAGCCAGATTATTAAGGACAATAATATTCAGGACTACTGTGTTCTCTTGGACTACAATTTTTGACAATATGAAATAAGCCATTATGTCCACTTACTGCATTTATCATCAACTCTATCTTGTATGAGATCCGTATTGCACTATCCACTTTCTTTCTGTAAGCAATAGTAAACATGTTGTGATTCTTTTATATTTATCAATATTAATTTATTCCCTTTTAAGCTCTGTGTTGAAATTCTTGTGTCCTATTTTCTTCTTCTAGTAATTACTTATATTATTCCATTGTACTCTGTTTCATCTAAATTAACACATTTTCATTATAAATTATGAAAAAATATAGACAATTACTTAATGGATTACTATGTCACTATAATTTATACTATTAGTTATACTATAATTACTATATATCAGTAATTAATGTTACTGGGCCGGGCACAGTGGCTCACGCCTGTAATCTCAGCACTTTGAGAGGCCAAGGCGGGTGGATTACAAGGTCAGGAGTTTGAGACCAGTCTGGCCAATATGGTGAAACTCTGTCTCTACTAAAAATACAAAAAGTAGCTGGGCTTGGTGGCAGGCAGCTGTAGTCCCAGCTACTCGGGGGGCTGAGCCAGGAGAATCGCTTGAACCCGGGAGGTGGAGGTTGAGGTGAGCCAAGATCGCGCCACTGCACTCCAACCTGGCGACAGAGTGAGACTCTGTTTCAAACAACAACAAAAAGTTTACTATGCAAGATTAACAGTTCTATGACATAGTAATATCTGTTAATATCTCTTAATATCTAAGAGATACCCAGTAGTGGGATTGCTGGATCAAATGGTAGTTCTACCTTTAGGTCTTTAAGGAGTCTCCATACTGTCTTCCATAGTAGTTGTACTAGTTTACATTCCCACCAGCAGTGTAAAAGTGTTCCCTTTTCACCACATCCACCCTAACAACTATTATTTTTTGAGTTTTTAGTTATGGCCATTCTTATAGCAGTAAGGTTGTATCACATTGTGGTTTTGATTTGCATTTTCCTGATAATTAATGATGTTGAGCCTTTTTTCATATCTTTGTTGGTGGTTTGCATATCTTCTTTTGAGAATTGTCTGTTCATGTCCTTAGCCCACTTTTTGCTGAGATTGTTTTTTTCTTGCTGATTTTTTGATTTCCTTATAAATTCTGACTATTAGTCCTTTGTCAGATGCATATTTGCGATGATTATTTGAGAATATTTTCTCCCACTTTGTGGGTTATCTGTTTACTTTGCTAATTATTTCTTTTGCTGTGCAGAAGCTTTTAAGTTTCATTAGGTCTCATCTATTTACTTTTATTTTTGTTGCATTTGCTTCTGGGTTATTGGTCATGAATTCTTTGCCTAAGGCAATGTCTAGAACGCTTTTTCCACTGTTATCTTCTAGAATTTATGGTTTCAGGTCTTAGATTTAAGTCTTTCATCCATCCTGAGTTGATTTTTGTACAAGGTGAGAGGTGAGGATCTAGTTTCATTCTTCTGCATGTGGCTTGCCAATTATCCCAGCACCATTTGTTGAATAGGGAGTCCTTTCCCCACTTCATATTTTTGTTTGCTTTGTCGAAGATCAGTTGGCTGTTAAGTACTTGGCTTTATTTCTCTATAATATTCCATTGGTCTATGTCCCTGCTTTTATACAAGTACCATGCTGTTTTGGTAACTATAGCCTTCTAATGTAGTTTGAAGTCAGGTAATGTGAAGCCTCCAGATTTGTTCTTCTTGCTTAGTCTTACTTTGGCTATGCAGTCTCTTTTTTGGTAACATATGAATGTTAGGAATGTTTTTTTCTAGTTCTAGGAAGAATAATGATGATATTTTGATGGGAATTGCATCAAATGTATAGATTGCTTTTGGCAGTATGGTCATTTTCACAATATTGATTCTACCCATCCATGAGCATGGGATGTGTTTCCATTTGTTTGTGTCATCTATGATTTCTTTCAGCAGTGTTTTGTAGTTTTTCTTGTAGAGATCTTTCACCTTCTTGGGTAGGTGTAGTCCTAAGTATTTTATTTATTTTGCAGCTGTGGTAAAAGGGGTTGAGTTCTTGATTTGATTCTCAGCTTGGTTACTGTTTGTGTATAGAAGTGCTACTGATTTGTGTACATTGATTTTGCATCCTGAAACTCTACTGAATTTATTTATCAGGTCCAGCAGCTTTTTGGATGAGGTTTTCAGTCTACAATCATAGCATTGGTGAACAGCGACAGTTTGACTTCCTCTTTACCAATTTTGATGTCCTTTATTTCTTTCTCTTGTCCAATTTCTCTGACTAGGAATTCCAGTACTATGTTGAATAGAAGTGCTGAAAGTGGGCCTCCTTTACTTGTTTCAGTTCTCAGGGGGAATGCTTTCATCTTTTCTCCATTTAGTATAATGTTGGCTGTGGGCTTGTCATAGATGGCTTTTATTATCTTAAGGTATGTTCTTTCTGTGCTGATTTTGCTGAAGGTTTTAATCATAAAGGGATACTGGATTTTGTCAAATGTTTTTTCTACATCTATTGAGGTGATCATGTGATAGTTTTTAATTCTGTTTATGTGGTGTATCACATTTATTGACTTGTGTACATTTATTGACTTGTGTATGTTAAACCATGACTGCATCCCTGGTATGAAACACGCTTGATTATGGAGGATTATCTTTTTGACGTGCTGTTGGATTCTATTAGCTAGTATTTTTTGAGGATATTTGTACCTGTGTTCATCAGGAATATTGTTCTGTGGTTTTCTTTTTTTGTTATGTCTTTTCCTGGGTTTGGTATTAGGGTAATACTGGCTTCATAGAATGATTTAGGGAGGATTCCTTCTTTCTCTATCTTGTGGAATAGTTTCAGTAGTATTGGTACCAATTCTTCTTTGAATGTCTGATAGAATTCTTCTGTGAATCCATCTGGTCCTGGACTTTTTGTTGTTCGCAAATTTTTTATTACTGTTTCAATATCACTACTTGTTATTTGTCTGTTCAGAGTTTCTATTTCTTTTGGTCAAGTACTCTCTCAGACCACAGTGGAATAAAATTGGAAATTAACTAAAAAAGGAACCCTCAAAACTATACATATACATGGAAATTAAACAATCTGCTCCTGAATGATCTTTGGGTCAACAATGAAATTAAGATGGAAATTTAAAAAATTCTTTGAACTGAATGATAATAATGACACAACCTATCAAAACCTCTGGGATACAGCAAAAACGGTGCTAGGAGGAAAGTCTATAGCATTAAATGCCTACATCAAAAACTCTGAAAGAGCACAAATAGGCCATCTAACCTCAAACAAGGAACTAGAGAAACAAGAACAAACCAAACCCAAACCAGGCAGAAGAAAGAAATAACAAAGATCGAGCAGAACTAAATGAAATTGAAACAAAGAAATACAAAAGATAAATGAAACAAATAGTTCTTTGAAAAAACAAAACCAATAGACCATTAGTGAAATTAACCAAGAAAAGGAGAGAGAAGATTCAGATAAGCTCAATTAGAAATGAAATGTGAGATATCACAACTGATACCACAGAAATATAAAAGGTCATTCAAGGATACTATGAACAACTGTATGTGCACAAATTAGAAAACCTAGAGGAGATGGATAAATTCCTGGAAATATACAATGTTCCTATATTTTTATTCATTTGGTGAATGTGTATAAGCTTTGGCTAATTCATACAGCTAAGCCGTATATGTATTAACATTTTTAAATATTTATCTCATGAAAAATGTCATAATTTTGCTTAGTTGATTTGATGTAGAATTCAGATGCCAAATCATCTTATCACAAACTTTGAAGATGTCAGATCATTGCCTTCTAACTTCTGCTGTCAATGATGAAAAATCAGGTCCCAAACATATATTTGCAATTTTATAGATAGGTTCTTTCCTACCCCGACCCAGACCCATGCTTATAGAATTTCTCTTTGTTTCTTTTAATTCTGAAATTTTGCTAGATTAGGTCACTAGTGCTGGATCTTTTTACATTCATCTTTTGACATTTAAACCCTGGAGATATTTGTCTTTATCCAACTCTTGTAAATGTGTTTCTCTTATTTATTATTAGAGCACTTCTTATTTCTTTTCTTTTGTTTAAACTTGGTGTAGTTTTAATATTCTGGAATTCCCTTTAGATGTATTCTAGAAGACAAACGCTAATTCTCTATGTCTGTAGACTTTTGTTGTTTTACTTTTTTCATGTTTTTATGCCTTGCTATGGTTGAATATTAGTCCCCTCCAAAGCTCATATTAAAATTTAATCCCCAAAATGGTAGTATTGAAAGGTGGGGTCTTTAACAGATAATTAGGTTGTGAGGGATCTGCCCTCATAAATGAAATCATCTATTCATGGATTAATGAATTAATGCATCATGAAGGTGTGAAACTAGTGGCTTTATAAGAAAGGGAAGAAAGACCTGAGCAAGAATGCTCAGTCTCCTCACCATGTGATGCCCTGAGCTGTCTAGAGAGTCTGCAAAGATTACCCCCCAGCGAGATGGCTGTCATCAGATGTGGCCCCTCAACTCTGGACTTCTCAACCTCCAAAACTGTAATAAATAAATTCATTTTCTTTATAAATTACCCAGTTTCGGTTATTTTGTTATAAGCAACAGAAAATGGACTAAAACATGCTTCTTCCATTTTAGTCATGTAATGAGGGTTTTCTTCTTACCATCATATTCCTAACGAATTTTCAGCTGTGTCCATTCTATTGATCAGATCTTCATTCTTATCATCATATACATGCACATAATTATTTTATGGGAGCCTTCTTAATTTTTGTTCATTTTTTATTGCAACTTGCTCCTGTATCAATTTAATATCTTAGAATCTCTCTTAGGGTACTAATTAGCCACTTAGAATTTCCATTCTAATTCTAAATTTACTGTTTCAGAGGGAGTTTTCTTTTTTCCCCTTTTTGCTTTCAAGATATTTCTTTTTAATGCTGTCAGTTTTCCTCCTTGCCAAGTGAGTCATGATTTTCAATTAATTTTTATAAATTAAAGACAATGAAAAACATTATGGAGGGTTCTAAAGAAATTAAAAATAGAACTACCATACAACCTTCGCCCACTTTTTGATGGGGTTGTTTGTTTTTTTCTTGTAAATTTGTTTGAGTTCATTGTAGATTCTGGATATTAGCCCTTTGTCAGATGAGTAGGTTGCGAAAATTTTCTCCCATGTTGTAGGTTGCCTGTTCACTCTGATGGTAGTTTCTTTTGCTGTGCAGAAGCTCTTTAGTTTAATTAGATCCCATTTGT
The DNA here is from genome assembly GCF_000001405.40 of Homo sapiens. Taxonomy (NCBI): domain Eukaryota; kingdom Metazoa; phylum Chordata; class Mammalia; order Primates; family Hominidae; genus Homo; species Homo sapiens. The sequence continues at coordinate 34,820,488 of NC_000023.11, read as the reverse complement.
CAATTTTGGCTTTTGTTGCCATTGCTTTTGGTGTTTTGGACATGAAGTCCTTGCCCACGCCTATGTCCTGAATGGTAATGCCTAGGTTTTCTTCTAGGGTTTTTATGGTTTTAGGTCTAACGTTTAAATCTTTAATCCATCTTGAATTGATTTTTGTATAAGGTGTAAGGAAGGGATCCAGTTTCAGCTTTCTACATATGGCTAGCCAGTTTTCCCAGCACCATTTATTAAATAGGGAATCCTTTCCCCATTGCTTGTTTTTCTCAGGTTTGTCAAAGATCAGATAGTTGTAGATATGCGGCATTATTTCTGAGGGCTCTGTTCTGTTCCAAAAGAAGACATTTATGCAGCCAAAAAACACATGAAGAAATGCTCATCATCACTGGCCATCAGAGAAATGCAAATCAAAACCACTATGAGATATCATCTCACACCAGTTAGAATGGCAATCATTAAAAAGTCAGGAAACAACAGGTGCTGGAGAGGATGTGGAGAAATAGGAACACTTTTACACTGTTGGTGGGACTGTAAACTAGTTCAACCATTGTGGAAGTCAGTGTGGCGATTCCTCAGGGATCTAGAACTAGAAATACCATTTGACCCAGCCATCCCATTACTGGGTATATACCCAAAGGACTATAAATCATGCTGCTATAAAGATACATGCACACGTATGTTTATTGCGGCACTATTCACAATAGCAAAGACTTGGAACCAACCCAAATGTCCAACAATGATAGACTGGATTAAGAAAATGTGGCACATGTACACCATGGAATACTATGCAGCCATAAAAAATGATGAGTTCATATCCTTTGTAGGGACATGGATGAAATTGGAAACCATCATTCTCAGTAAACTATCGCAAGAACAAAAAACCAAACACCGCATATTCTCACTCATAGGTGGGAATTGAACAATGAGATCACATGGACACAGGAAGGGGAATATCACACTCTGGGGACTGTGGTGGGGTCGGGGGAGGGGGGAGGGATAGCATTGGGAGATATACCTAATGCTAGATGACACATTAGTGGGTGCAGCGCACCAGCATGGCACATGTATACATATGTAACTAACCTGCACAATGTGCACATGTACCCTAAAACTTAGAGTATAATAAAAAAAAAAAAAGAACTACCATACAACCAACAATCTCTCTTCTGTGTATATACCCAAAAGAGATGAAATCACCACCTCATAAAGATATGTGCACTCCCATGTTCATTGCAGCATTATTCACAATAACCAAGATATGAAAACTACCTAAATGTCAATTGATGGACAAATGGATAAAGAAAGTGTGGTGTAAATATATATAATCATATTTCATTATAATATTCCATTGTTTATGTAGACTATGTATATATACACAATGGAATATTATAATGGAATATTGTCTCACACACATACACACATATATGAATCACACACACACGCACACACACACACATATATATATACACAATGGAATACTATTCAGCTTTAATTACAAAAGGAGATTCTACCATTTTCCACAACATGGGTGGACCTGGAGGAGATTATGCTAAGGGAAATAAGCCAGATCCAGCAAAAATATATTGTATGATCTCACTTATATGTGGGATATTTTTTAAATGAGCTTAAATACATAGAGATAAAAAATGAAACAGTGGTTACTATGGGCCGGTGTTGGTGGGAGGAAATAGGAAGATGTAGGTCAAAGGACAAAATAGCACATATGTAGGTTGAACAAGTTTAGAGATCTAATGTACAACATGAGCACCAAAGTTTTAAAAAAATACATTAGAGGAAAAGAAGGTTATGTTGCCGATAAGAAACAACCAATGTGGATTTTCTTTGCAGCTGCATGTGTCTGCTTCCCCTCCTGTAGGGGTAACTGCAGGCCTGGTGTGTAAAGGCAAGAAGTAGCAACAATCAGGCCAAGGTTCTAAGTAGGGGACATAATGAAGACCTTCATTCGCTAAAATAAGGAGCCTTTTCCTCTGATGTATAAGGTATTAAGTGAATTTACCTCCTTAAAGTCCTGTCTATCTATTTATTCCTCCTCTGTATGTTTATTTGGGGGGATTCTGAGTTACCTCTTGTTCTACTCTTCTCTAATTCTACATGAATAAGAGTCTTCTCTAGAAAAACGATTTATTTGGTTTTCTGTTCCTGCATTAGTTTGCTGAGGATAATGGCTTCCCACTCCATCCATGTCTCTGCAAAGGACATGACTGTGTTCCTTTTTATGGCTGCATAGTATTCCATGGTGTATATGTACCACAGTTTCTTTATCCAGTCTATAACTGATGGGCATTTGGGTTAATTCTGGATGATGAGAACACATGAACACGTGGGTAAGGGGAAACAACACACACTGGGGCCTGTCAGGGGTTGGGGGAGGGAGACCATAAGGAAGAATAGCTAGTGGATGCTGGGCTTAATACCCAGGTGATGGGATGATCTGTGCAGCAAACAACCTTGGCACACGTTTACGTATGTAACAAACCTACACATCCTGTGCGTGCACCCCAAACTTAAAAGTTGAAGAAAAAAAATTCTCAGAGAATAAACAACTGCATTCTTATTGTTGGTCCTATTTGAAATTAGACTTTGCTTTATTTTCACTTTCAATATCACTTATAGGAAATAAATGTCAAGTTTTGTCTCAGAATCAACACCTGCACTTTTACCCGATTAAGTGTCTAAAATTGAGGACTTAATAATTTGCAAATGTTTAATCAGACAGTACTAAACGGAAAGATTTAGGGGATAGATAGGCACAAGTGGTGAGTCATTACCCATTTATTTCTTCTAGAAGTTTTTCCAAATTCTGTTGATGAACTGGCTAGTTATTTTAGGAACTAAGTCCATTTTTGGTAGCCTGGGCAAGACTCTTAATCATAAATTAAGAGTCTTATGCTTTGCGTGTTCCAATCATTCTGTAGCCCTCCAAAAATTCCAGTTTCAGTGAGATGTTTGTGTTTTGAAAAAGAAGTGTTTACTTGACACCATTGCACCTCTGGGCAATAATGTTAGGGGACACATACATATCCATACACAGGTGCACACACGTGCGTGCACACACACATGCATTTTATGGTTAATGAAAAAATAACTGAAAAAAGAGATAAGAAACAAAAACAAATGAGTGTGTAAAAAATTAAAAGCAAGAAAAGAGAAAAGTAATTTATTCTTTTTAGTGCAGTGGTGTGAACATTGACTGCACATAGGAACCAACCAGGAAACTTTTAGGAAATTTCAATACTCATACTTCAATTCAAAACACCTAACTCAGAATTTCCAGGAGAGAGGCCCGAGCATCAGTGTTTTTAAAAACTGAGTATTTATAATGAGAAGCAAGGTTCAGAATATGAACTGAACTGCTGTGTAGGATGGAACAAGAAGGTTTTACACTTCGTCTGTTCAGAGTGCATTTCTTTAATTACTCTGATAACTGTCTTGAAGAATCTTCTCCATTATTTTATTTCTAATTTGATTTTGGTTTCAGTATTTGTTTTTATTTCTCTGGAATTATTTTCAGTTCATATTTGATGTTTCCTCTTTTATTAATCAACTTCTTCCTTTTTTCCCAGCTTCTAGAAATTTTTCTAAATTTATGAGCCACTTATCCTACCAGTTCTTGTTTACCAACATTCCATGGATATCTGCCATTTTCTGTTATTTTTTAAAATATTACATGGATGGGGGAGTGTATGAGTATTATCAGCTTGCCACAATAATCTAATTTCCAACGTTGGCATATTTTATAATTTATTGAGGTTGCATTCTCTATGCTACCATGAAAATTGAATTATTTTGGAAGTCTCACTCACCTTCATTGCTTACCTCACATTCAAGGTCATTATTCATGAATACATTTGACCTTATTGATAGTCTTTGTAATGGCAAAAAATTTGCAGCCTATTACTGTGATCGACATGATGAAAGCTAAGTTGAAGTGAATAATACAACTTTGACTTTTTAAATGTTTTTAGAGAATTATTCAAGTAGTTCCTCAATTATGAACTAAACTGAAATAAATAAAATTAAAGTAAGAAGTGTCATACAACAAACTAGAGCTGTCTTCAACTGTTTTCAAATCTTGAACTTTGCTTCTTCTCTGATTTTCCGTATTTCAAAGTATAGCCCCATCAACAACTCACTACCTTAGATTTGTGTGTCCTTCTCAATAAGCCCCACAGTTCCTACAACTAAAATCTCAACAAGTCCTCTAGATCTGATTTACTAAATATTTCTTTTTATTTTTGTAAAATATATATAACATAAGCTTTGCAATTATAACTATTTGTAAGTGTGCAATTCAGTGGGATTACCTAAATACTCCTGAATCAAATTTTGCATCCTACTACAATCACTTCTATGATTACTTCAAAAATCACCTAATTATTCTCCTGTTTGTACCCCACCATTCAGCTGTCAAACCGAAACAGCACTCCTTTTTGTAACATAATTATCTGATGTCACTTCATTGCTTAAAATTCTTCAGTGTCTTCCCAGTCCTTTAGGATTAAGTCAAATTTATTGAACATGGCTTGCCTAGCTTTTTATGGTCTGGCTTTGCTTACCAGCTTGATCTTTCACTATTTTTCAAAAAAAAACAAGCTCTAGTTATACTGAATTTTTTGCAGTTACTTGAATTGCCATGCTGTGTCTCTTTGGGGTCTTAGCACATACTCATTCTCCTGCCTGTATACTCTGCCCCCTCCAGGATATTATATGGCTAAATTTTATTCATCTTCCAGGTCTCAGATTAAATGTCATTTTGTCAGAGAAACCTTGCCAGAGATATTGAAGTCTTAGTAGGTGCCATTACTATATGCTCCCTTAGTTTTAAACTTTACCAAAAATTATTTGACTGATTAATTGTTTTCAACCCTTATTTGAACCCTTAAAGAGAATAATCTCTACTAAGACAGAGTCTGTATTTGAATTAATCAATTTGCCATTGCCAGCACCTTACTCAGTCCTGGCACATAGTTAAGAACTTCAATAAATACTTCTGAAATGATCAAATGAATGAGTGGAATAACAAATAAGGCAGGGATATCATGAATACACACAACGAGAATCTTTTTCCCCTCTTCTCAATAAAGTAATAAAATAACTTGTTGAATGCAAATTTTTTATCTAAGAGACTCTGTATACCACATTATGAATTTCTAGATAAGGTTAATTAGCTTACAGAAAGTTGAAAAGGTTTTTTTTGTCTTTTTTCTTGACTGTTTTGTTTCTCCCTCTCAGGATCTCTACTCAATAGCCACTGTTTTCTATTTTATCAGGTGTCCTAAAAATGGTGACAGATGTTTCATTTTGCATGGAACACTTTCAATTTATACCTGTTATCTAATTGTAATTAATCATACCCCCTTTTACTTGCAAAATTGTCTGAGTTTGGACAATGAGGTATATATTCACCCTATCTAGACAACATCCACATTCTTTTCTTAAATTTTTTCAACAGAATTTTATTTCTTAATAAACAACCACAATTTACATTCTCATGAACATTTACTCTGCCCTTTCCTGGGATCTGTCTAGACCACCTAAACACAGTTTATGTATATTTACAGGAAAGGGAAAGGACTAGATTCAGAAGGCTGGAAAGTAAGGAGATGAATGAACGTGTTTCCTCAGCGATAGCAATAGACTGTTGGAGGTTGGAGGTGTTCATCAGTGAAAATTCAATTATAGCTACCACTTTGAAAGGGTCATCCTAGAGTTACCTTCTGGCTTGTCATTGTCTATCATCTGTCTGCTCCGCAGAAAGTTGGGTTATATGGTAATTTCATAAATCTGACAATATTTTGTCTTTTAAAATTAATATGCACATATTAGATGCAAAGAAAATAAGTTTTTCCACTGCAGAGTTTTAAATTCATAATTCCTTTTATAAAAATTTGACACTGTGAAATAAAAATGTTGAACCAAATGCCTATAGTTTCAATTTGCTGGTTACTGATCAATTAGTAATTATGGAAGCTGACCAATGGCCTAGTAGATAGATACCATGCAATGTCTTCACTTGCGTTGTGGTCAGTCAGCTGGCTGAAAAAAGCAGCTCTGCAAAGATGAATTCTTACTGTGAGTATTAACTTCAAAAATACACGAAATGACTACTGTCATACAATTTTTAGGTGGGAAAAAGTAAGTTGATGAACCTAAATCAGAAAATAGTGATATTTGGTTCAGATAAACCTAACTAGCTTTACCTCTATTGCAAAGATGTGGTTTTGCTGCCTCATTTCAACCCTTACTTATCAGAATATAAAAAGAGATACAGGAAAGCCCATGTAAATACCTAAATAACAGGATATTTTTCTAATGTATCCTTAGCAAATTTATAATAATCTTTTGCATATGTGAGAAATGTTTTATTAGACATTTTTGTTGTGCAAATGTCATAGATTGTACTTACACAAACCTAGATGGTTTAGCCTACTACAGACCTAGGCTATATGATATAGCTTATTGCTCCTAGGCTACAAACCTGTCCAGGATATTACTGTACTGAATATTACAGACAACTGCAACACAATGGCAAGGATTTGTGTATCTAAACATAGAAAGGTACAGTAAAAATATGATATAACAGATAAAAAACGGTAGGCATGTGTAGTATACTTACTATGAATGGAGGTTGCAGGACTGGATGTTGCTCTGGGTGAGTCAGTGAGTGAGTAGTGAGTGGATATGAAGGCCTAAGACATTACTGTGCTCTACTGTAGACTTTATAAATAGTTGTACACTTAGGCTACACTAAATTTATAGAAAATATTTTTCTTTGATAATAACACTAGCTTACTGTAATTTTCTAAATTAAATTTTTTAAATAAAAGTTTATAAACTTTTTTATTTTTTAACTATTTGACTTTTTATAATAACAATTAGATTAAAACGCAAAAACATTTTACAGCTGTTGTACAGAAATACTTTCTCTGTACTTTATAAGCTTTCTTCTATTTAATTTTTTTTTTTTACTTCTTAAACTGTATTACTAAAAAGTAAGACAAGAACACACACATTAGCCTAGGTGTACACAGGGTCAGGATCATCAGTGTCACTGTCTTTCACCTCCACATCTTGTCTCACCGAGAGGTCTTCAGGGGCAATGACACACATGGAGCTGTTATCTCCTGTGATAACGATGCCTTTTTCTAAAATAGCTCCTAAATGACCTGCCTGAGGCTATTTTATAGTTAACCTATTTTTATAAGTAGAAGGAGTATATTGTAAAATAAAGATACAATATATAGTGCAGTAAATATGTTAACTAACAACATAGTCATTTATTATCATTAGCAAGTATTATATACTATAAATAATGCATGTGCTAGACTTTTATATGTTTTGGATATCCGTATACAAAAGTAAATGAATAAATAAGCCTCAATGTATACCTTGCACAAGTGAACACAAAATGGATCATACGACTAAATATAAACCTTAAAACTATAAAACTTCTAGGGAAAAACAAGGTAGAAAATTTTTGCTACCTTGGGCTAGGCAGATTTCTTAGATATGACACAAAGCAAAATCCATTAAGAAAAATATTAGTAAAGTCTATCTCACTGAAAGTAAGAATCTCTGCTTCTGAAAGACACTGTTAAAAGAATAAAATTTTTGGCCAGGCGCGGTGGCTCATGCCTGTAATCCCAGCACTTTGGGAAGCCGAGACGGGCGTACCACCTGAGGCCAGGAGTTCCAAACTAGCTTGGCCAAGACGGTGAAACCCCGTCTCTATTAAAAATACAAAAAAAAAAAAAAATTAGCCAGATGTGGTGGCGAGCGCCTGTAATCCCAGCTCCTCGGGAGGCTGAGGCAGGAGAACTGCTTGAACCCAGGAGGCGGAGGTAGCAATGAGCCAAGATTATGCCATTGCATTCCAGCCTGGGCAATAAGAGATAAACTCTGTCTCAAAAAAATAAAAAATAAATAAAATAAATAAAAGAATAGAATTTTAAGCCACAGACTAGGAGAAAACATTTGCAAAAAACATATTTCACAAAGTACTCATATCTAGAATATTCAAAGAACTCTCAAACTCAGTAATAATAAAACTAAAAAAAATTTAATAAATCATTCAACAAGGAAAACATATAGATGGCAAATAATCCCATTAAAATGTTTAAGAAGAGCAACAAATATAACAACAAGTTCTGGAGCAGGTGCAGAGCAACTGTAAATCTCAGACATTACTGGTAGGAATTTTTAAAGAGGTACATTCACATGGGATAATAGTTTGTTAGTTTCTTATAAAAGTACCCATACACTTACCATACAATACAGCAATCTCACTCCCAGGTACTTATCCAAGATAAATACAAATTTATGTTCACATACAAACCTGCATATTCATGTTTATAATGGCTTGCTTCACAATCACCAAAAATTAGAAATAGCTCAAATTCCTTCAACTAATGAATGGATAAACTGATACATCCATACAATGGAATACTATTCAGCTATAAAAAGAAAGAACTTTTGATATATACAACAACATGATAAATCTCAAATGTATTGTGCTAAATGAAAGATGCCAGACTAAAAAAAAATGTACATACTATATCATTTTATTTTTATGACATTTTGGTAAATGTAAATGTATAGAAACATTTTTAAATTTTTTTAAAAATCAGAGTTTGCTGGTGAATGGACAGAGATTGAATTTAAATGGACAGCATAAGGGAAATTGTGGGCTTGACAGAACTCTTGGATTTTGTTTCTTGTCATTGTTACTCAAGCATATACATTTATCAAATTATTGGGAATGCACAACAAGTATGATTTCTACTGCCTATAAATTTTAAAAGTGAATAAAATGTAAAAATATATGTGTGTGGGTAAAGTATTCCAAGCTATCTGGGCAAATGCTTTTCAAATTCCTATTCACTAGTTTTTGCTTTCTTATTGGGGAAAATAAAGCCAATAACCCCTCACCCACCCCCCAACAAAGGGCAGAAAAAAAGACAGAGAAACTATAGTTTCATGATTGTTTTTAAATTTAAAAAAAAAGAAGAAGAGACGCAGGAGCAGAATAAATGACTGAAATCCTCTTTTCAGCACTGTATTTTGTTGTGGGGAATTTTTCACTCCAGCATTATTTCCCCCCGACACAGTGGGGAATAGCTCACTTGTTCATCGTGGAGCTATATAGCCCCTTCTGTTTCCCATCTATCTTTTGGGTTCCCCCTAGTTCTTTGTAGATACCCTCCCTGCTTGCTCATGAGCATCCCTTTTATCTTTACAATTACCCTTATCCTGGCTGACAAACCATGTCTTTTTTTAGATGAATTACTCCAGCTTGAGGTGGCCCAGCTATGGCTCTGGGAATCAGCTGTTCCTTTCCATCTAATAAGCATGAATACGTTTCTTTGATCCCTATATGCTCCTTTTGGTAACCTCAGCAGCTGAAGCATGAAGTCTTGGATTACCAACCAGAGTCTTCAGCCCTAGTGCACCCTCACTGGAGTACTAGACGGAGACTGAAAGCACCAACTCAAGCATTAAATAAGGAAAATAATAAGAGGAATCTTTTTTTTTTGAAGTAGGAAGCTGCTATATTCAGTGACCAAATTCACATCAGTGTTGCTTTTAAAACATGGTTTTATTGTTTTTAAAATGTCATTGGGCAAAATTGTTTAGGTGTTATTCATAGAAAAGAATGAATCTAGGTTAGAATCAAATAAACTGAAACTTGTCTGAGATCCCTTTGATAGAAGCTTTCCTTCTGAAGGCCTACTGTCTGCCCCTATCACCTTAATAACAAGGGTGCAAATGAAACAGCTGTGATCTGTAACTGTCCTGTAAAGAATAAAGTATGCCATAAGAGAATAAATGACCCTGTACCTGTCACATTTCTACCGGCTTCCCTTCTCCCTCAGATTCTTATTGAATCTTAACTCCAAGAGTTAACAGCTCTACAGAATGTAGGGTAGGAGGCTGTGAGTCATATTTTAGTCATACTTCAAAAGAGTAAGAAATAAACCACACTACAGTTCCCTTTTCATGTTATTACTTTGTTTTTGATGAACCTGTTAACCAGCTCCTTTGTGGGTAGATTATATCAATTCATAAATGTAAATTCTAGATTTTCAAATTCAGCTCGGTAAAATTCTAAGCTTATTTTCTATCTATCAGTTTACATAAAAACGTGATAACTTTCTGACAGATAAATTGAAATGCGGGGTTAGCTGAGGATGTGTGAAAAAATATGAGTGGCAGCAGAAAGGCTGTCAATATTTCTACATGTTTTTCACGTTTTATATTTTCTCTACCAGATTTTTTTCCTATGAAAAATCAAGGAAGAAGGCTTTCCATGTTGGAAAAGCGTGACATTGTTGCCATATGTGGAACACTTGAAAGTTATGTCTCATGGCTGAAACATGAATAATGGGAGTATTTTAAGGGAATCACACAAAGAAGGAAAGATGGGTGTCCTAAGTTCAGGCTCCTCCATCATTTTCCTAATATTAAAGATAAGATATAGGTAGCCAGGTTTTGGTAAAGGACTCTCCTACATTAATGCCATTGGTTATGCTTTATAAGTAAATGAAATTCTTGAGTTAAAACATCATTTCAAAACCTGAATTTTTCATCCCTTTATCTGCCTAAATTCCACACAGCATCCACCTTACCATAACCTCTGACGTGCCAGAAATGGCATGTTAAAAAAAAGGAAACCCTGTTACAAAAATCAGCTGTATAATTATCATTAATATCACTGTCAAAAATATGACAATAAGTTCATCCTGCATTTTCTGTAATCACATCCACATTAAGAGGAAAAATGAGCAAAGCTCTTCATTTATCAACCAAACCCATTTCCTGAGGGGAATATATATTATATGTAATAATATTAAGATTTAAACATTAAACCAGTCTGGCTTATTTTTATCTTGTGCAAGTAGAAACTTAAAAGAGGGGGAAAATCAGAAATAATGGAAGCTACTGAAAGATTGGTGGCTGCCTTGGGGAGTGTATGGTGCTTAACATTTGACATTACTCAGAAATTTATAATTTTGCAATGGAAGTTTCGTCCCCACCCTTGTACCCACAGTTCTGTGTGTTCATGTGAGATGATGCCACAACCTAGCAAGATCAAATCTCTTCTCGACTTACTGCTGTTTTATTCTGCCTATTTGGAAATATGTTCTTGCTGTTGCACTGTTCTCAATATTAATTCTGGAATGCTTATTTATTTATTTTAGTGTGTGTTCCTTCAAACTGGCCATTTCTTTGGCAGTCTATTTCAGTGAATGCAATAGGAACGAATTGTGTTATCCAAACAGAGGGAAATACAATCACAGCTGGGTGTTACCTCAGCTGCAGGCGTCTCGTCATGAGCACCCCCATATTGTCTGGCTGATTGTTCCCTAAATTGCCTGAGTGCTGAGAAACTTCTGTCACTAGACATCATTGGAATTGGAATTAGACGACCTCTGTGACCTCAGAGATATTTAGAAAGTAGTGTCTGCACAGCCCTAGAAAGCTCTTTCCCTGGAGTTAACTTTACTCAGAGCTTGACTTGGTGACACGTTAATCTTTAATGTCTTCCCGTAGGAAACAGTGATATTTTTCTCTTGCACTACAGCAAAAGCACAGATGTCCTGTGTTTTGATTGGCTCCCATCAGTCAGATGTATATGCAAACAGTGTAGTATGCAGGTGGGTTATGCTATCTATCCTGAAAGCAGTTTATTAATAGACCATCTTAGGTCTGACTTAGGACCTCAGTTTGCCAAGTGCATTGGAAACACGAGTGAAAATCTGAGAGTAAGCATGATAGAAAGAAATGCAGTCACATCTCTCTAGGGTAGAAAACCCATTTGGGTAACTTATTTTCTAGGTTCACAATGTCACCCACCCTCACTGTGGCATATTTTGCTCTATAACTTGTTCTCCTGTTCAGAATATGTGACACTCTTTCTTTTCTCCAGCAAAGGGATGTGTTTGCCATTTAGTGAGTCTCCCATTACTCATAAGACTGGACTTATGGAGGGGAAAATGTCATGATTTTAACACTGTCACTTTACTCTGTGCAACTACCTTAACACATTTCATTCATCAGACAAAAATAAAATTGAGGTATTTATTTGGGCCAAAGACAATCTCCCCATGCTTCTTTCCAAATAATAAGAGTTTTGGTTTTGGTTTTGGTTTTCAAATCATTCTCTGAAGAAGTCTATGCCCATAGAGAGTTGTAGATTGTGGGAACTTACAAGGTAAAGGTATCCAAAGAAGTAGAGACTGAGGGCCGGTGCCCATTGCTTCTACTTACCTACATTTTTCTAGACATCAAGCTTTTCCACAGCCTTGCTTATGCCCTGGGCTCATGATGAGAAGGGAAACACAAAGAAATGTTACTTCTTTCCTATTCATTTGTACTCATCTGAAAGAGACCATGAGGCCTAGATAATTTAAAACTCATTATGTCCTCTCTACCATCCATTCCCTATGGCACAGACAATGAGAAGAAAGACAACTACATCTCAACCCTTCCCTCTTCATCACATGCTTTGAGTGGTTGCTAGTTACTTACAGGATCAAGCCAGGACTTCCTAGGTTCTTTGAACTCTCCAAACCCAAACAACCTTCACTTGCTCAGCTCTCTTTCTCCTCTTCAATCCTACATCCTGTCAAGTATTCAGCTTTTTATTTGCCATCATTATTGTTCTCCACATTTTTATTGTAACATTTGACTCATCTGGAACCATCATCTTCAGCCATTTGCATGTCGTTCCCTGTTGGAACTTCTTCCCTTAGTCAAATATCTTACAAACTTTAAGGTACAGCTTAAGGTTAACTTTTTTACTTACTTAGATAGTTTAATAACTATATTACTATTCTAGCTACCATGAGGCATTCTCCCTGAGAACACTATGTTGTAGTATTTAGCATTTTGTTATTGAAACTTTTACTCCTTAAACATCTTATACACACACAGACATACACACTTAATATTATTCTCAAAATATGATGTTCTTCACTCATTCATTCTTTCAATTAATATCTATTATAATCCTACCATAAGTCAGATACTGTGCTAGAAACTAGGAACTATAGATAATATAAAACATAGGAGGCATGATCCCTGCTTTCAAAGAAATCACAAACTATCAGCAAAGATTAGGCACATGGAAAAATAACTAACAGGAGGTAGAAAGTGCTATGTTACAATGAATAAGTGGAGAGGCAAGGGTCATTCCTTAAATTTCTTAAAATGTCATCATAATAATTATATTTGTTATGGAATTCTAGGCATCCCCTAATTTAAATAACAGCCAACTTTAAATTTGACAATTGATCCTAATTTCATGGCAAGCTACATCAAAATTGTCATTCCAAATTTGTTTTTTAAAAGCTTTATTTTGTACATTAGCCTTTCTTTGATTTTTAAATAGATCAATTTTTAAGATCTATTCCTCCCATAGAAAGGGTCTTTCAGTGTGACTTATTATTGCAAAGGTTCTCAAACTTGATATGCAGTGTTATAACCTGGGGCAGTTAATAAAATTAATATTCTATTTACCAAGGTCATCTCCCCAGGTGTTTGCATTCACTAGGTCCTCATTAGAGCCTGAAAATCTGCATTTTAAACAGCTCTTCAGATGGTACTATGCCAGTTATCTCTGGAGAACATTCCCTTCAGGACAAATATCTAATGACATAGCAACAATTCTTGATATGCTAGTTTTCCTCCCTAAATATAGTGGTAAAGTCAGGTAATTTTCCTGGTTTGTGAAACCTCCATCTGAGAATAAGACATCTTTCATCACAGTCCTTAATAACATCATAGAATTGGACATATTAATACTGACTCTCTTTTTTGGCTCATATAGATGTGGGTCTTAAAAGCTCAAAGTCATATCTTGTAACAGTGAATATATCCCCAAAACTAATAAAATAAAAATGCAAAGAGTTTCAGACCTCAACCAACTGGTTATAGATCCTTATTTTGATAAATTCTGCCACAGTGAAAAAAAAGTTAATGCTTATTCGAGTTAGTTTAAATGAAATTTTTATGATTTTTCTGTTTTAAGCTTTGAACTTTTGAAATGCACCCATGTATCAGTCCTCAAGTCTTCAGAATCACAGTCCTTAAACTTTAGTTTATAAAGGCAAAGACTAGAAATTCTCCAGTACTGAAAATACCTTAACATGAAAATGCCCCTTGCTTGAAATCGAAAAAAATCTGATTTAAAGGTATTAACCATGTTGTTTATATATACATATATTAAAAAAATAATAGCTGGAAGCATTTATTAAGTGCTGATAATGGACTAGGCACTGTGCCAGGTAGAGAATGGTATCAGTTTCCTGGCAGGAAGCAGCAGCCACCCAGAGAGTTTTAATTGAAGAGATATTTTAAAAAACATAATATATGGGCAGAGTTAAGGAAAAACAGTAAGGGACGGTAAAGGAGTGCAGTGGTAGTAAAAAGAGAGCATATATAGCTGCTAGTCATGAAGATTCCGGAGGAGTCAGCCACTGGACTCCCAAGAAGGCCTATAGTTATAGGAGAGAGTCATTCAATAGGAACAAAAGTCCTTGGGAGAGGAAAGTAGCCATTGCCAAATCTTGACCTAGGAGGGAAGAGGCTAGATTAAATACCTTAGTTGCCTGTTGGTGTCTCACTTTACCAAAGAGCGATAGAGCCCAATTGATGTAGTTAATTGTGGTTAGCCCCCAGCAGCACATGGTGGAGAAGGGAGGAGAACAGATCTTGAGGGACAAATGGAGAATATCCAGCACAGATGAATAAGACAGTCTCTGCTCCCATAAATCAGAATGGAAATGTGTGCCCTCTTGGGGAAATAGCAAACAGCTCAGTTGGGGGAGACCTCACAGAATGCATAAGAAAAAATAGAGTGTCCATTACTGTTATATAATAAAATTCTCCCTCATTTTCTTACTTTCATACAAAATGATAAATTATTTTAAAGCATCATCTATTGTCTTTTTTCTTGATGTATGGGCTGTGGCTAAAGCTTTGTTGTTTGGGGACTGTGCTTATTAAGGCTTCCAAATAGTTTTCCCAAACTGTTGCAGCATCTGTGACAGAATCAAGTACCCTTGGATAATATGCATTCCCCCAAAGTTAGTGCTATTCAAATTAAAAAGTGGCTTTTCACGCCCTCAGGCTCAGCCATATCCAAATCTTAAAATAAAAATCATCCTGCTTTCCAGACCATTTTCCAAAGCATCTCTCACCTCCCCATCATTAAGATTAAACTTTTCGAATAGGCACTAAGATTGCAAACTCCATTGAAACATCTATTAATTGTGTCTCACTGGATAATTAAATCTTTCCTGAACCACTGTTCCTACCAGTTAGGTTGAAGAGGAAATTTTTTTTGGTCTGGAAATGATCCAAGTATATGAAGGACCTTGGCATGCCCCCTCCAACAAAAATAAACATGTGTACATCTTCCTAGAAGTTAAGCAGTTTAAGGGGGGAGTTGAGACTGGGTTTGGTCTGAAAGAAGCTCTAGATCCTTTAGTGACTTCAGATTCTACTTGCTTTTCAAAAAAAAATTCAGGATTGAGATTAACTTGGGCTTGAAAACTCATTGCTTCCTTATCAGGTGAAAACAGAATTTTGGCCCTATGAGATCCACACTTATATTCCCAGGAATTAGCTGAAATTGGGGATCAGGCTCCAGGGACTATAGAAGGATGGAGTGATGTCCACAGTGAAAAATCTCTGAACTCATTCAAAAGGAAACCAGGAAAGAAAATGTGTCACTACAATCAATGCATATTTTACTGTTGCCTCTTTGTTGAACTTGACATTACCAACCCAGTAAGTCCTCAGGCACTAGAGTGCTAATGAACAAAAAAAAATCCAGCTTAAAAGCATGGCTTTAAATCCAAAAGCTTTCAGCTCTTGGAAACCGATTTCTGTTTAAGACTTTCTATCCCTCTTATAACCTCAGTTGGAGAGAGAGAGAGAAAGAGATAGAGAGAACAAGCATATATAAAAAAAGTGCTAAAAAATTAATGCTGATATTAGTCATAAAAACTTGGAATACTAAATCATCCTGCTGGTCCAAAAAACCCAGATGCTGGGTATTTTCCTTATGATTTTCTAAATTTTTCAGAACCTTTGCATGTGTGTACATCTTTAATGTTAGCACAAGATGCTTCTCTTCAAAGCATGGCCCTAACATTACTGTGTTTTGAGCATCGAGACCTTTAGAATACCCTGGAAAGCAGAAAATGACTCTATATGGTGAGTGATGGTTATCAGTGAGTAGAAAGGGAGATAGTGATCTCATTGCATCTCTCTGTATGGAGCAGTGTATGATCTGTACTAGCCACAGCACAGGAGTCCATTGGAAGGCCTCCAAATTCCCAGTAGTGAAGTTGAGGCAAGGCTGGGATGCTCTACTCTAATTGGCACACACATATGTCAGGAAGGTAGGGGCCTGCTCTCATGATGTATAGTCTGTTTTCTTTAGAGAATAGGTTCTGTTTGTTCTAAAAAAAAAAAAAAAAAAACTGAAAGAAATCAGAATCCAGGCTAGGTCAGTTCTTTGGAGAAATAATATTGATACCATATTGAGTGTATAAGAGTTAGCATTCATTACACATTTGTTTTATGTTTATATGGATTGTATTATTTAATCCATCATACAGCCTGTAACATCGTATCATTAGTCTTTCCCTTTAACAAATAAGGAACTGGGGCACAAAGAGTTTAAATACTTTTCCTCCAAAGTACCTGTGTTATTGAGGTAATATTTTTCAAGACTACAAGAGAACACCAAACTCTTCGTTACTGTTGTCAATAATTGAGCATCACACATTGCCAGACAATACCATGAGGGGTGTTATATGAATCATCTTGAGAATATTGATGCTAACAGGGGTTAAGTTAAATAAGTTATTCCAAGAATACACAGTCTTTCCTGTTAAATTTGAATTCAAAGACAGGGTTTTTTATGAAGGATTCTGTGCTCCATTTACTGTGCCATACTGCCTCTGTTCGCAGCTCCTTCTAGGAGGCCCTATGTGTGACTGACCATTTTATTTATATTGGGGGAAACCAGTCCCCAATATTCAACGTGGGTCCTTTTCTATTTTCCCTAAGTGTCAGCTGGTCTGAGAAATAAAGGGAAGGAGTACAAAAGAGAGAAATTTTAAAGCTGGATGTCCAGGGGAGACATCACATGTCGGCAGGTTCCGTGATGCCCCCCGAGCCGCAAAACCAGCAAGTTTTTATTAGTGATTTTCAAAAGGGGAGGGAGTGTACGAATATGGTGTGGGTCACAGAGATCACATGCTTCACAAGGTAATAAAATATCACAAGGCAAATGGAGACACGGTGAGATCACAGGACCAGGGTGGAATTAAAATTGCTAATGAAGTTTCGGGCAGGCATTTTCAATAATAACATCTTATCAGGAGACAGGGTTTGAGAGCAGACAACCGGTCTGACCAAAATTTATTAGGCAGGAATTTCCTTGTCCTAATAAGCCTGGGAGTGTTACGGGAGACCGGGGCTTATTTCATCCCTTATCAACAGCCGTAAAAGACAGACGTTCCCAAAGCGGACATTTCAGAGACCTCCCCTTGGGAAAGCATTCTCTTTCTCAGGGATGTTCCTTGCTGAAAAAAAGAATTCAGCAATATTTTTCCTATTTGCTTTTGAAAGAAGAGAAATACGGCTCTGTTCCACCCGGCCCACAGGCAGCCAGACTTTAAGGTTATCTCCCTTGTTCCTTGAACATCACTGTTATCCTGTTCTTTTTTCAAGATGCCCAGATTTCATATTGTTTAAACAATTTGTGCAGTTAACGCAATCACAGGGTCCTGAGGCGACATTCATCCTCAGCTTATAAAGGTGATGGGATTAAGAGATTAAATTAAGACAGGCATAGGAAATCACAAGAGTATTGATTGGGGAAGTGATAAGTGTCCATGAAATCTTCACAATTTATGTTCAGAGATTGCAGTAAAGACAGGTGTAAGAAATTATAAAACTATTAATTTGGGAAACTAATAAATGTCCATGAAATCTTCACAATTTATGTTCTTCTGCCATGGCTTCAGCCGGTCCCTCCATTCAGGGTCCCTGATTTCCCACAACGTCTCTCCCTTTCTTTTTATATAAATGTGCCATGGCGATGAAGGCTTGTCATTCTCTTGATTTTGATGCAGGATTCTTTGACTGGTCCGGCACACTAAAAACAAGCCGATTAAACAGAGAAACGTAATTCCAAAATTTACTAGAGTGGAGGCCCCAACAGACTTAATCCAAGTTGTGGGGTTTAGTCCATAAAGATTTTCTGCCACCTGATCTAATGCCTCAGCTCCAGGCACGATGGATAAGTGAGCTTGAGAGGCTTCAAAAATTTGTTTTTTTAATTAATTATGTCCAATGATAAATTATCTTCCTTACCCAGAAGGTGTCCTTTGACCATTTCCCATGAATGATCAGTCTTGTTATAGGAATATGGGGTGATACAGAAATCTGAAGTATTCCAATCACACTGCATTTACATGCAATGTTTGAGACTCACTACCCGATCTGCAAGCCAAATAACAGACTGTCTTAAATCATTAATTTGATTAGCCAATTTTTGATCAATGCCTTGTTGAGAACTTCACATTTGGGTGGAATTGGCTTGTCAATCATTAATAAAATGAGCCATTTGAATAGATTGATGTAACGCCATTCCGGCCTTGGTGGCCATTGCAGTGACTGTAATTAAGCCCATGATCACAGCGATTAAAGTGAAAACAAATCTCTTAGATCTTTTTAGAATTTGCTGTAACACTTCGTTAATTAAATGTATTGAGGGGGAGGATTCCCAAGGTCTGGGCAAAGTTACCAGAATCCAGATTCTTTCTCGAGCTCGAACCAATATTACACTTTTTCTGGAGTCAAAATGGGAGTTAATACAAGTGTACAAATGACAATTAATGCATTGGACAGTTTGATTGTTCTTCCAAATTTTGATATTTCCCAGTAACAGCATGTAAGGAGGCTTAACACAACTCTGTATGGGAACAGTCAGGTTGGAGGTAAGTTAAGTAGAATGTCTGGATCTACATTGATACTGAGTGAGGGGGATTGTAGTGGGAACAACAGACAGAATAGTTACCCCTTCCCATACTTGCAGTCCAGACATGGCAATAGCCAATTTCCAAAGTTTTGGGTGTTCTGGGCTCAGAATGGGGAGTATCATATGAGGCATTGTGGGGGTAATGCCTTTATCTTCCCATTTTAAGGGAAAGAATGAGGTGAACCTCCTATGCAAAGTAGAATGATGATTCTCGTTCTCCCAATAAGAAGTAAAATAAGTAGCCTCCACGCATTCCCCTCTGCCAGAGGAGCAATTGTTTTTCAAATAGCCCTTTGGTGCCCAGTCTACTACTAAACAATGTGAGTCATTTTTTAATATTACTGCATGTGAGTTAACACAATCTTCCCAAATTAAAATTTTAGATGGGACCTCAAAATTTTTAGGGCATGGTTTTCCTGCAGGTTTATATTGAAAGTATGGGGTATCTCCCATTACTCCCCCTTTCATTTGTTTTAAAGGTGAAAGAGAGAGGCCAGAGACCAAATGTCCCAGTTCCTCTGTAGCTGATCTCTCCAGAAGATAAGCAGCCCAGACTTGAGTATCTAGATGGATACAACCAGGTGCATGTCTGAGGCACAGAGAGGGTATTTATAACCCATGGTAACATTCAATGCAGTGCCTTCTTCTCCTGGTTGAGCAGGGCAACGGTCATCTGTAGTTCCAGGCATCCACACACTATCATTAGTGTAGATTTCTGCAGGAGCATCTATCCAGGTGAGAGGTCGAATAAGCAGAGGAAAAAGCACATAAGCCCAATAAGAATAACTTTGCGTAGCAGGCAAATCAGTGTGAGAGGAAACTGGTGAGACAGAAAGTATAAGGAGGAGAATCATTAAATAAAACCCATTGTAAGTGAGACTGAGTGCTGAAGGAGGAAGAGAAGAACAGAGGGGTGTTATTTTCAGGCTAATAGAAATGGTGAGATTTTTAGGTTTGTAAGAAGAAAAGGAAAGGTAATCAGGAGAAGTGGGATTAGTTAGATGAGTCTCCATTGCCATCAGGGAGGATTGAATCAGATCCACTGTGATTTGGTGTGCCTGCTTCTGAGGAGTTGGCACAGATCTCACCACTTCTGAGGGCAGTCTCTGACATGGACATCTTTTCCCTTTGCTTTTCTTTTGATGATCTCCTGGTGAAACACAAGCATATCCTCTTTCCCATGTTAAGTAGAATCAGAGACAATATTTAAAGGTTTGGGGAAATCCTGTCAGGCAGTAATTACAGCAATTAACTCTGCCTTTTGAGCAGAGGTATAAGGGGTAGAAATAAGCTTGTTTGTAGGACCTGCATAACCAGCATTGCCATTACTGGAGCCATCAGTGAACACTGTAATGGCCTCAGGAATAGGCTGATCTTTGATTAATCGAGGGACCACACAAGAAGTCCTTTTTATAAAATCAAACAATTTCTTCTTTGGATAATGATTATCAATAACACCAATAAAATCAGCCACGTGAATTTGCCACAGTATGGAATGTTGAAAGGCAGCTTGAATTTCAAGCCGATTTAAAGGAACTACAATTAAATTAGGATCAAATCTAGAAATTTTAAGTATTCTACACTCTGCCTGTCCAATTAAGATGGCTATTTGGTCCAGATAAACAGACAAAGTTTTTGACACAGAATGAGGAAGAAAACACCACTCCACTGAATCATTATGTTGAACTATTAGTCCAGTAGGGGAGTGTAATGAAGCGAAAACCAGAAGCTGAAAAGGCTGAAACGGCTGTACTCTAGATAACTGGGTGGTCTGTATTCTTTCCCCTACTAATTCCAGTTCTAGTGAAGCCTCAGGGGTCAAAGTCCTGGGACTGTGGAGATTGGAATCTCCCTGCAGCATAGAAAACAAGTTAGACAGCGCATAGGTCAGAATACCTAAAGTAGGTCTTAAATAATTAATGTCACCCAAAAGTTTTTGGAAGCCATTTAAAGTTTTCAAGGAATCTCTCCTAAATTGAACTTTTTGAGGTTGAATACATTGTTTATCGACCACCATTCCTAAATATTGAACAGGAGCGGTCTGTTGAATTTTATACTGAGTGATGTGTAATCCAGTCTCTGTTATAAGGCAGCTCAAAATTTGATAATGGTCAATTAATTCTTTATCAGTGGGGGCAGCAATTAAAATATCATCAATATAATGAAGAACATAGGCCTGGGGAAATTGGGCTCGAACTGGTGAAAGCACTTGTTCAACATAAAGCTGGCAGATTGTAGGGCTATTCAGTGTTCCCTGAGGAAGTACTTTCCATTGATAATGAGCTGCAGGATCCTGATTATTGATAGACGGTACAGTAAAAGCAAATTTTTCACAATCTGATTTATGTAAAGGTATATGAAAAAAATCTTTAAAATCAATAACTATGAGAGGCCAATTTTTAGGTATTGAAGCAGGGGCAGGCATGCCAGGTTGGACTGCCCCCACAGGTTTAATTACAGCATTAATGGCCATTAAATTGGTTACCATCCGCCACTTGCCTGATTTCTTTTTTACTAGAAACACAGGAGAATTCCAGGGGGAAAGAGAAGGTTTCACATTTCCAAGTTGTAACTGTTCAGAAACCAATTGAGTTAAATCCTCCAGTTTTTCTTTAGAAAGCGGCCACTGCTGAATCCAAATAGGTGTGTCAGATTTCCATTGTAAAGGGATAGGATCAGAAGGCATGGCAGCGGCCGCCATTAAAAAGGATAACCTAAACCCGCCCTGTTTTCTTTTACAGTAACTGGGAGGGGTTTAACAATCCCTTCATGCTTTGGAGTGAGACCCAGCCCAGGAACAAACCTCATGTTTTCCATCATATGTTGACTGGGAGCACTATAAGAGTTATGTGGAATATTATTTTCAGCCTCAGTATGTACTAGGCCCTCAAAACTTTTTTCCTTGAATGTGGATGGTGGAGGCGGGCCATTGTTTAGAAATTACATTAATCCAATAAGCAGCCTTTTCACTGACAGAGCCCATCCCAGGGCCACGTGTCTTATCTCCTTTGTTTAAAACGATATTAGGTAGTAAAAGCAATTGAGCTTTTTTAACAGCAGTACAGGAAACAAGAGCTTGGCCTGGGGTGTGTAATTTATCCCAAGCTCTCATACACACCTTTGTTACTTGTTATGTGGTAAGAACATCAAAGTTTAATTGGCCATAAGCATCAGAGAAACTATTGGAGCCTGTGAGCTGAGCCTGAGTAATTAGAATGCTGTTAGTACGATTTAGCTGAGCCTGAAAACTGGCCTTCTCTGCCCACCAGGCTGAGATGGGGTTAGAACAGCTTTTGTCAAAAGGTCCCAGTCTAAAGGAAGCAAGACGACCTCAGTACAAAAAGTTTGTAATACCATTTTAACATAAGGAGAAGTAGCACCATACTGAGTACAAGTATCCTTAAATTCTTTTTAAAAGGTAAGATTGAGTGGTGCATATCGACGCAGACTGGTTGAGGAACCGAAATGACAGGAGGGTGAGGGGCTGTAGTGGATGGGGGAGGGCCTGGAGAATTATAGGTAAATTGTAGTTTGGTCCTGCAGCCATTAGCTGATGCCAGAGGTTTGAAGAGAGAAGAATTAGAATATCTGTGGTCCTGGGCTGTGTGAGTCGGGGCTGCGGGAGCTTCAAGTACTGGCCCTTCATGAAAAGAAGTAAGATAAGTAGGGGTAATATTAAGCCAAAGTCATCGGAGTTAGATATTGAAGTCTCAGCATCGTTAAATGGGGGAGGAGTAGGCAAAGGGAGAGGCTGATCAGATGATGAAGGCAATGCGGGAGAGGAAAGTTGAGGAGGTATTAGGATGGCACATACCAAGGCCCAATCACCCCAAACAGTGACGGGAACATAATTCCCTGTCAAGACCAGTTCCCAGAATGTGGCACCGACACGATCCCATACTTTTACATATACGGTTCCTTTTTCAGGATACCAAGGACAGTATTTTTCCACCGCCCTGAATAGAGTGACCTTATTTTCCATGGTTACTCGGACCCTTCCCTGTTTTAACAGGTCTACATCTAAGATTCCTTTTTCAGGAAACCAAGGACAGAATTTTACCACTGCCCTGAACAGAGTGATCATATTTCCCTTGGGCACTCGGACCGTTTTCTGTTTTAACCAGAGTTTAATATAGAAGAGATAAGTATAATGTTTATACTCCATGTGACCCATAGTTAACCCCGACCATACACAGACTACTCATCAGTCATCAGGGAGTCAAACATGCGTATCTGTGGACCAAACCGATGACGTTTCTCTGCACCTACCAAAGGGAATCAGGTTGCCACATGCACTTGAGAAAAAGAAAAAACCACATTGGCACACCAGATATCGGGGGAACCCGCCCCTGATAATTCTTCGTGGGTTCTTTTCTATTTTCCCTAAGTGTTGGCCGGTCTGAGAAATAAAGGGAAGGAGTACAAAAGAGAGAAATTTTAAAGCTGGGTGCCCGGGGGAGACATCACATGTCGGCAGGTTCCGTGATGCCCCCTGAGCCGCAAAACCAGCAAGTTTTTATTAGTGATTTTCAAAAGGTGAGGGAGTGTATGAATAGTGTGTGGGTCACAGAGATTACATGCTTCACAAGGTAATAAAATATCACAAGGCAAATGGAGGCAGGGTGAGATCACAGGACCAGGGTGGAATTAAAATTGCTAATGAAGTTTCGGGCAGGCATTTTCAATAATAACATCTTATCAGGAGACAGGGTTTGAGAGCAGACAACCGGTCTGACCAAAATTTATTAGGCAGGAATTTCCTTGTCCTAATAAGCCTGGGAGTGTTACGGGAGACCAGGGCTTATTTCATCCCTTATCAACAGCCGTAAAAGACAGACGTTCCCAAAGCAGCCATTTCAGAGACCTCCCCCTTGGGAAAGCATTCTCTTCTCAGGGATGTTCCTTGCTGAGAAAAAGAATTCAGCAATATTTTTCCTATTTGCTTTTGAAAGAAGAGAAATACGGCTCTGTTCCACCCGGCCCACAGGCAGCCAGACTTTAAGGTTATCTCCCTTGTTCCCTGAACATCGCTGTTATCCTGTTCTTTTTTCAAGATCCCCAGATTTCATATTGTTTAAACAATTTGTGCAGTTAACACAATCATCACAGGGTCCTGAGGTGACATTCATCCTCAGCTTATGAAGATGATGAGATTAAGAGATTAAAGACAGGCATAGGAAATCACAAGAGTATTGATTGGGGAAGTGATAAGTGTCCATGAAATCTTCACAATTTATATTTAGAGATTGCAGTAAAGACAGGCATAAGAAACTATAAAAGTATTAATTTGGGGAACTAATAAATGTCCATGAAATCTTCACAATTTATGTTCTTCTGACATGGCTTCAGCTGGTCCCTCCATTCAGGGTCCCTGACTTCCGGCAACATATTTAAAAAAAAAAACTTGTTTACAAACAGTGAAACATAAGGAGAAAAGTAGCTGTTAATATTCAGCTATACATTTAAAGATGAGAAGAGGTATAAAGAGGAACTAATATTAATGGTGCAATTAGTAAGCGCCAGTGACTTCCTGAAGTGTTTAATATAAGTTGTATCCTTTAAATCTGACAGTACTTCAATATTGCCTATCAGTAAAACATTCAATAAACTGAAAAACAAACACAGAAAGCTCAATCCTTTGTATTGTTTTTCTGTCCTCTCCCCTAGCTTGTTGGCTTCTAAGCCCATACAACTTGCCTCACAAGTATGAGATGGCTGTTTAGATACTAGTCTCATGTCCATTACATAAACAGAAAGAAGGGGAACTGAAGAAAAAATGGTTGACAATTATATCAGAAAAGCAAAAACTTTCCCAGTAAAGCAGAATTCATATCTTATTGACAAGAACTGTGGCCAAACGCCACCTTTTCTTGCAAGGGAGCCTGAAGAAGGAACTGTTACCTGAGCACATTGCTGCATGCTTCTAATATTATGTAATAATGTCCAATTTTCCCCATATGACCAGATGTTCTAGGCTCACATTCTACATTCCCATACTCAGATGTGTAATAACCCTTTCTACAAGAAGCCCTAGTTTCAATATTTTAATCTCTTTTTTTGCTTCTGTTTCCAAGAGTGTGCTTTTCATTTATTTCTTATCTCTTCTTGTGTTTTCTGTGGTGACTATCCTTCAATGTGCCCCTTGTAATTTAGTCTTCATTGTAGAATTTTGTTTTTCTATTTATTCAGTGAGTTAGGTTGATTCACGTTGTATATCCTCCTATTTTCAGGCCATCACTTCCTGTTTTCTGGTCACCTTTTCTTGAGTTCTTAGATTTGAGCTTTATAGTATTCCTGCATAACTATAATTGATCTTTCAAGGATTTGATTCTGTTAGTTTTATGTTTGTTTTTTTAATTCTTTTTACAATGTTAAGTTATAACTTTCATCTGCTTTGAGGAAGCCATTTCCAGATAGGTTTTAGTCGTATTCTATAGGAATATATGCTGCTCTTTTTCATTGTTTATCCTATAGTATCCATGTGTGTAGGCAGAACTTTCTCATTTCCTGTTGCTTGTATTTAAATGGGATAGATTTTCCTAGACTTCTAATAGGAGGATGGGATGGAGGGTACAGAGTATGCTAGTGTAGAATTCTAAGCTTCACAACTTCCAGCTCCCTCCTTTGTCACTACAGTGAATATCTTAAGATATTGTCCTTTCTGTTGACAGCCCTGCTCTGGCTCTTAGAGCTCAGCCTAGTTCAGGTGAACTTTCTCTGCCAGCCTGAATCTCTGAGTTCCCTCCACATCCCTTTCTTACACTATCATGCATTCTTAGAAACTGTTTTCTACTGGCACATTTTGCTATCTGCCACCTATGGGCTCCTGAGCTCTTTGTGAGCCTTGCTTCATTATTCCTTCTCCAGCAACCTTGAGGTGTTCCATTTCGGTTATACTCACAGTGGTTCCCTCTCAGGTAGGATGTTGTCATGTGGAAGGCAACTATTGACTGGAGATGTACGAGACTCACCAGCCTTAGAACTCCTCTGACCACCCTCTTCTTCCCCATTGTCACCCTCACAACACTGTGCTTCCTGTGTGGCTTCACCTTTGATGAAATGTATATGCAACTGGGAGTCTGCTGATTTTTTCTGTCTCCTAGTTTTGTTTGTTTGTTTTTTGAGATGGAGTCTTGCTCTGTCGCTCAGGCTGGATTGCAATGGCATGATCTCTGCTCACTGCAGCCTCCGCCTCCCGGGTTCCAGTGATTCCTGCCTCAGCTCCTAGGCAGCTGGGATTACAGGCACGCACCACTACGCTCAGCTAATTTTTGTATTTTTAGTAGAGACGAGGTTTCACCATGTTAGCCAGGCTGGTCTTGAACTCCTGTGTGCTAGGATTACAGGTGTGAGCCACCATGCCTGGCCTCTGTCTCCTAGTTTTAATGAAAATATAGTTCGAAGTTGTGCTTTTTTTTTTTTTAATAACTTTACCTGCTTCTCCTCCATACGATTTCTGGAAGAAAGAAGGTATTACAAAATTAGCTGCTTGTTCATAAAACTCTTGGCTATAAACTGCTTGGATATAAAGTCTGATTTATCAACTTTTCTAGTTAGAAGAGTAGTTATCATTTGCTGTGGGTTGCCAAGGACCAGTCTCAGTGCCATGTACTGTGAACATAATAACTCAGTACAGCAAACCTGAGGGCTAATTGCAGTCATTATCTCATTTTCACATGAGTTAACTAAGGTCCCAGAAGGTTAAGTAATTTGCTTAACCTGAAATGCAGATGATAAGCAGAAAACCTAGAATTCAAGACCAATTTTTCTAAATCCAGAGCCTAAACTTTGATCCCATGAAATGACTTGCTACTTTTCCTGCAGACTTTAGTCTTATAGGATTAAAATTATTTATGTAAATTTTCCATTCTGCATACAGTGGTGCCTCTCGTCATGGTCTAATATGGATGAAATATAGACACCTTGATTTATAAACTGCACAGAGCATGCTTCCCTGAAAGCTTCACATAGTTCTCATTTAACCTTGAAAGTGGAAATCTAACCTCTAATTTTAAATATGAGAATACAAATATGGCCTACATTGCAACAATATATATTAAAATGAAAATTAACCTCTTTAATCCTTTCTCCAAAACTTGACAAAAATGCCAAGTAAAAGGTAAACATGGGCAGAGAAAAAAAGAATACTTATATACTAATGGTGTAATGTAAATTGGTTCAGCCATCATGGAAAGCAGTTTGACAATTTCTCAAAGAACTAAAAGTAGAATTACCATTCGACCCAGCAATCCCATTACTGGGTGTATACCCAAAGATATCTACTGTTCTAACTAGAGAAGTTTCGAACTCAGACTTTATAAACAAGCAGTTTATAGCCAAGACTTCTATGACTAAGCAGCTAATTTTGTAATATCTTCTTTCTCCCAGAAAACATATGGAGGAAAAGGGTAAATTAAAAAAAAAAACAACACCACTTTATCACCATTGGGTATATACCCAATGGAGTATAAATCATTCTATCATAAAGACACATGCACACATATGTTCATCACAGCACTATTCACAATAGCAAAAACATGGAATCAACCTAAATGTTGGTAGACTGGATAAATAAAATATAGTACATATATACCATGGAATAGTACAGAGTCAAAAAAAAAAAGAGTGAGATCTTGTCCTTTGCAGCAACACGGATGGAGCTGGAGGCCATTGTCCTAAGTGAACTAATGCAGGAACAGGAAACCAAATACTCCGTGGTCTCATTTCTTAGTGGGAGCTAAACATTGAGTACAATGGAAGGGAACAACAGATACTGGGGCCTACTTGAGGGAGGAAAAGGAAGAGGAGGATTGAAAAACTACCTCTTGGGCACTATGCTTATTAACTGAGTGGTGAAATAATCTATAAACCAAGCTCCCATGGCACACAATTTACCTATATAACAAACCTGCACATGGACCACTGAACCTAAAAGTTAAAAAAAGGAAAACATAGTATCAGATAAGATAATTTTGAAAATATTGTCCACGTCCTAAAACACTATGTTAATTTACAAATGCTCTCTACCCTAATAATTTTTACCTATTCATCTGTCAAAATCTTCAGAAATTTGTAAGCAATGCACTAGATTCCCAGCATATACCATATGGTAACTACAATTTCAAGGTTACGTATTTGCATGATTTAAAGACAATGTATGGGACTATCATTTAACAAAAACCTATTATATGGGAGAGATTTTAAAAATAGTAGATATGAAGGTAAAGTATGGAACTGACACAACAAAAACATATATATATAATTTATATCACATGATATGTTCATGTATGTACTTTCAATATTACATATGTACATATTATGTATATAATTTACATACAGCTATATTATTTTATGTTTCTGACAACTGTTTCTTCATCTTCATTTTACGGGCAACCAATCTGAGGTTCAAAGGGGTCAAAAACTTTTCAGAAATATTTTAACTCCTCAGTCTCAGGGCTGAATATAGAACGCAGGAAGCCCTGATTTCCAAAGTCCTTCCCAATTTACTGGGCTGCATTGAAGGCCTAAAGTTCAAAATAAATAGAAATTCAATCTAGCAAGGATGCAAAATAGAGAGAGAAACAAGTGAAAGTGAACGTGGAGCTAGTTTATAGGGGGAAGTTTAATTTTCTGGGGAATTCTGAATTTGTGAACTCTAGATTACCATTTTTAGACCAAAAGCATTTAGATGTATTCAGGGAGTAGCCACATGGTTCGAGTGCCCTAGGTAACATCTAGTCTTCCTTATCATGGTATCTCTCTCTCATTAGGTCAAAGCCCAAGCAAAGCTAGAATTGCAAAGAAGTCATGTGCATTGATCACTAATATGTTCTGTCATAATATTAAATAATTTACATGATGTAATAGCATAAATTTGTATTTCAGTGAATACATGCTACTGAGTGGACATCAGTGAAATGAGTACACTAGAGGTAAGGAAGATCATCACCAGCTAGTTCCTTTTCAGGTACAGGCTTTAAGGGGGTCTAATCACTACACAGGAACAAGAATCATTTTATTTTTCTCCATTAGTTGGAGAATATTAAGCTCCAATTGTCATCACATGGAAGGGAAGTAAATTGCTATTGGGACATTTAGGCACCCAGCAGCCTGACTGACTTTGTCTGCACAGCAGTTCAGATTATACATCTTTGTTTTTAAAGTGAAAAAATGCATATTATTTAAGTAACACCTTCTATAAAACAATGACACTTTAAAGGTCTATGAAAGTATTGAAAGTCATTACCTCTGTAAAAGTGAATAGGTAGCTATGATACTTAAAACTAAAATTCTTACTTTTTGAGCACGGCCAAGTTTTATATGTCAAGATACATTTCTTATAAAATATATAAATCCTATTTTTAAGTTTCAAAATCAATTAATAAGCAATTGGTAACTATTCAGTCACAATGCTATAAAAGGCAGAGGGCTAGGTGATGAAGACAATGCAAAAAATTAAATCAAACACAGATCCATTTCTCAGTGATTTCACTAGCTTGGGGACATATGAAAAATATGTACACATACATACATATATAAAACCTCTTCACCATAAATTAGGTTATCTCTCTCCTCCAATCAAAATCCTTCAATTGGCTTCACATTTCTCTCAGAGTAAGATGCCAAGTCCTTAGTAAAGCCTTAGCAAATAATGTGCAAAAAAATGCACATTATTTAAGTAACATCTGCTAGAAAACAATGGGACTTCAATGGTCTGTGAAAGTACTGAAAGTTATGGTGTACCTCCCTAAACCATAGGCATCCCCACCCATCCTCATGATCCCTATCATTAGTTCGCTGATATTTTAGTTCCCTGACCTTTTCAATCTTCTCCTCACTCAGTCTACTCCAACTTCAATGGATTCCTTGCTATTTTAGGAAAATTTGCAGGAAAGCTTCGACCTTAGGGCACTTAAACTGGCAAACCTCACTCTCTGAAACTCTCTGCCCTCAGATAAACACATTACTAAGTCCTTTATGTCTTTTCCATTTTTGCTCATATGAGACCTTATTAGTAACATTCTTTTTAGGGAGCTCTGTACTGACTGTTTTTTAAAAATTCTAAATTGCACTTTTATGCTCTGTGATAGATAATTTTAGATGTCAACACAACTGGATTAATGACTACCTAGATAGCTGGTAAAACATCTCTGAGGATATTTCTGGAGGACATTGACATGTGAGTCAGTGGACTAAATGGGGAATATCTACCCTCAATGTAGATGGGGATAATCCAATTGGCTGGGGTCCCAGATGAAACAAAAAGACAAAGAGAGGGCAAATTCTTACTCTCTCTTCTGGAGCTGGGCACTCTTCTTCTCCTGCCCTCAAACACCAGAACTCCAGGTCCTTTGGCTTTTGGACTCCGGAACTTACACCAGAGGAAGCTCCAGGCCCTCAACCCTTCA
Source organism: Homo sapiens (assembly GCF_000001405.40). Classification (NCBI taxonomy): domain Eukaryota; kingdom Metazoa; phylum Chordata; class Mammalia; order Primates; family Hominidae; genus Homo; species Homo sapiens. Next base: position 34,790,002 of record NC_000023.11, on the reverse strand, counting down.
GCTTCTGACTGAGAGTTACAGCATTGACTTCACTGATTCTGAGGCTTTTGGACTTGGGATGAACCTCGCTATGACCTTCCCTGGATCTCCAGGTTACAGACAGCCTAAAGTGGCACTTCTTAGCTTCCAAAATTTTGTCAGCCAATTCCCCCAATCTCATCTATCTATTACCTATTTATTCTCTCTCTCTGGAGAACCCTGACTGTATTAGTCCATTCTCACATTGCTATAAAGAACTATCTGAGACTGGTTAATTTATAAATGAAAGAAGTTTAACTGACTTACAGTTCTACAGGCTGTGCTGGAAGCATGGCTGGGGAGGCCTCAGGAAACTTACAATCATGACAGAAGGTGAAGGGGAAGCAGGCACATCCTACATGGCTGGAGAAGGGGGAAGAGAGAGCAGGGGGAGATGCTACAAACTTTTAAACAACCAGATCTTGTGAAAACTTACTGTCATAAGTACAGTAAGGGTGAAATCCTCCCCCACGATCCAATGATCTCTCACCAGGCCCTTCCTCTAACATTGGAGATTACAATTCAACATGAGATTTGGGCAGGGATCCAAATCCAAACCATGTCACTGACTAAGAAATTAGTACCAGAGGAGTTAGGTGGTTGCTATAGCAAATAACTAAAAATGTGGAGTCTTCTTTGGAACTGGCTCATAGGTAAAGGTTGGCAGAGTTTTGAAGTGAATGCTAGATAAAGCTTGTATTACCGTTAATGAAGCATTAAGGGTGATTCTGGTGAGAACTTGGAAGAAGAGAATAACTGTAAAGAAAGCCTCTGGCCACTTAGATATGACTTAAGTGTGCATGACCAGAATGCTCATGGAAATATGAACAGTAAAGAGTATTCTGATAAGGTTTCAAGTGGAAAGGAGGAACAAGACACAAGCATACTGCATTTTATTGTGCTTGGCTTTATTTTGCTTTACTGATACTGAGTATTTTACAAATTAAATGTTTCTGGCAACCCAGTATCGAGCAAGTCTATGGATACCATTTTTTCAGTAGTATGTGCTCACTCCTTGCCTCTGGGTCACATTTCAGTGATTCTCACAATATTTGAAGCTTTTTCATTATCATTAAATCTGTTATAGTGATCTATGATCTTTGATGTTACTATTGTAATTGTTTTGGGGTGCCACAAACTGCATCAATATAAGACGACAAAATTAATAAATGTATGTGTTCTGATTGCTTCACAAACTAGCCATTCTTCCATCTCTCTCTCTCTCTTTGGGCCTCCCTGTTCTCTGAGACACAAAAATATTGAAATTAGGCTAATTAATAGCACTACAATGGCCTCTAAGTGTTCAAGTGTAAGGAAGAGGCACACATCAGCCAGGCACAGTAGCTCACACCTGTAATCCCAGCACTTTGGGAGGCCGAGGCAGGTGGATCACTTGAGGTCAGGAGTTTGAGACAAGCCTGATCAACATGGTGAAACCCTGTCTCTAATGAAAACACAAAAAAATTAGCTGAGTGTGTTGGTGCATGCCTGTAATCCCAGCTACTTGGGAGGCTGAGGCAGGAGAATCGCTTGAACCTGGGAGGTGGAGGCTGCAGTGAGCTGAGATCGTGCCATTGCACTCCAGCCTGGGTAACAAGAGTGAAACTCCGTAAAAAAAAAAAAAAAAAAAGAAAGAAAAAAAAAGAGGTATACATCTCTCTCACTACAAATCATAAGCTAGGAATGATTAAGCTTAGTAAGGAAGGCATGTTGAAGCAGAGATGGACTAAAGCTAAGCCTCTTGTGCCAATTAGCCAAGTTATGAATGCAAAGGAAAAGATATTCAAAGAAATTAAAAGTGTTATTCCACTGAACACATGAATGACAAGACAGTCAAACAGCTTTATTGCTGAATTGAAGAAAGCTTTATTGATTTGGATGGAGGACCAAACCAGCCAGGCTACTTTAAGCCAAAGCATAATCCAGACCAAGGCTCTAACTCTCTTCAATTCTATGCAGGCTGAGAGAGGTAAGGAAGATGCTAAAGAAATGTTTGAAGCTAGCAGAAATCAGTTCATGAAGTTCAGGGAAAGAAGCTGTCTGTATAACAGAAGTTGCAGCAAGTTATCCAAAAGATAATTGAAGAAGTTTAGAAGCTAAACTAAATGACAGATTTTCGATGGACACAAAACAGTCTTCTATTGGAAGAAGATGCCATCTAGGGCTTTCCTAGCTAGAGAGGTGAAGTCAATGACTGGTTTCAAAGCTTCAAAGGGCAGGCTTACTTTCTCGCAAGGGGCAAATGCAGCTGGTGACTTTAAGACCAATGCCCATTTACCATTCAGAAAATTCTAGAATTCTTAAGAATTATGCTCAATCTACTCTGCCTGTGCTCTCTAAATGGAAAAACAAAGATTGGATAACAGCACATCTATTTACAGTATGGTTTAGTGGATATTTTAAGCCTGCTGTTGAGACCTACTGCTCAGAATAAAAGATTACATTCAAAATATTTCTGTTTATTAACAACGCACCTGGTCATCCAAGAACTCTGAGGGGGATGTAAAGGGAGATTAATGTTGTTTTCATGCCTACTAACACAACATCCATTCTGCAGCCCATGGATCAAGAAATAATTTTGACTTTCAAATCTTACTACTTAAGAAAAGTATTTTGTAAGGCTATTTCTATGATGGTGATTCCTCTGATGGATTTGGGCAAAGTAAGCTGAAAACCTTCTGGAGAAGACTCATCATTCTATTAATGGATACCATTAAGAAAAGTTATGATTCATGGGAGGAGGTCAAAATATTAAGTTGTACTGAAGTTTGGAAGATGTTAATTCCAACTCTCATGGATGTATTTGAGAGGTTCAGGACTATAATTGAGGAAGTAGTTGCAGATGTGGTGGATTGCAAGAGAACTAAAATTAGAATTAGGGCCAACTGAAAATAAAATTTATAAAAAAGACACTGGGAGAGTGACCAGGAACACATTTCAGACATCTATGAGGCTGCCATGCACATCACAAACTCAGAGTAATAGGGCCATGAAGGAAAAACAGTCTAAAGGGAGGACCCAGGACACTTGTTTTCAGGGGTCACTACCCAGTGTCACGTTAGGTCTCTGCTCCCTGCATTCCAGCACAGTGCTCCTTGGATATACCACCTGTAGCTTAGGCAGGCCCAGGAGTAACTCAGACTGGCACTCTGGAGGGTGCAAGCAGTGAGCCTTCACATCATACACATTGTGCTAATTCTTCAGGCTCACAGAGTGCAAGAGCTGTGGAAGCACAGCTGCCTCCACCTAGATTTCAAAGTGTGTATCAGACAGCCTTGGAGCCCAGAGAGAAACTTTTCCCAAAGAGAGCCCCCACTAGGGCAATGCCCAGCACAATTGTGGGGTCAGGACCACCATGGAAAGCGCTCACTAGGCCAATGCTTACTGGAGCCAGGGGACAGGATTTCATCCAAGACTCCAGTCCAATCGGCTGCAACACCAGTCTGGGAGAGCTTCTGGCATGAACTCCAGCCTGTGGATTATAAACTCCTCAAGCACAGGAACCACGTCTTTCTGAATTCTGTATGGCCCACTGACCTTACTAAAGTACATTGCACATTGTTAGGTACTCAGTGTTTGCAAATTAATGATAGCCTTTCATATTCCAGTTTTGAAAACATATTCTGATGTTCTACTCCCTTTTGTACTGCTCTGTGACCTGCTGTAGTTTAGCATCTCCAGAGTTTAAACTTTGTTCTCTGTGTTGTATTATAAGTCTCACATACAGTGCGTTTTATTGCTCTGGGAATGACCTAAATCATAACACTAGAAGAAAAATCCCAAAATCTATATCTTTGCTGCCAGGATATATTTTGAAAGAACTATAGTAGACACTTTGCTGTGCTGCATTTAGGAAAGTAACTGATGGCAAACTAGAGAAGTTTACATGAAGACAATTGAAAAATTGAAAAATTCGTTATTTTTTATTTTTTCCTGGCACGGTGGCTTAAGCCTGTAATCCCAACACTTTGGGAGGCCGAGGCAGGCAGAGCACCTGAGGTCAGGAGATTGTGACCAGTCTGTCCAACAGGGCAAAACCCCATCTTTACTAAAAAAATACAGAAATTAGCCAGGTGCCTGTAATTCCAGCTACTCAGGAGGCTGAGGCAGGAGAATCGCTTGAACCCGGGAGGCAGAGGTTGCAGTGAGCTGAGATCACGCCACTGCATTCCAGCCTGGGTGACAAGAGTGAAACTCCATCTCAAAAAAAAAAAAAGAGAGATTTGCAAAATAAAGAATAATACCACTTTTAAAATTATACTTTAAGTTCTAGGGTAAATGTGAAATGCAAATCAAAACCACAATGAGATACCATCTCACACCAGTTAGAATGGCAATCATTAAAAAGTCAGGAAACAACAGGTGATGGAGAGGATGTGGAGAAATAGGAACACTTTTACACTGTTGGTGGGACCATAAACTAGTTCAACCATTGTGGAAGACAGTCTGGTGATTCCTCAAGGATCTAGAACTAGAAATACCATTTGACCCAGCCATCCCATTACTGGGTATATACCCAAAGGATTATAAATCATGCTGCTATAAAGACCCATGCACACGTATGTTTATTGCTGCAGTATTCACAATAGCAAAGACTTGGAACCAACCCAAATGCCCATCAATGATAGACTGGATTAAGAAAATGTGGCACATATACACCATGGAATAGTATACAGCCATAAAAAATGATGAGTTCATGTCCTTTGTAGGGACATGAACGAAGCTGGAAACCATCATTCTCAGCAAACTATCGCAAGGACAGAAAACCAAACACCGCATGTTCTCACTCATAGGTGGGAATTGAACAATGAGAACACTTGGACACAGGGTGGGAAACACCACACACCGGGGCCTGTTGTGGCGGGGGAAGGGGGGATGGATAGCATTAGGAGATATACCTAATGTAAATGACGAGTTAATGGTGCAGCACACCAACATGGCACATGTATACACATAAAAAATTAGTTCTTAAAACAGACCCTTCCTTTCCCTATCTCTGTCTCCAGGCATTTTTTTTTTCATTGACTGTCACAGAAACAAAAGCGAACAATAGCTGAAGGACCACATGCAGGTAAGCAGACAGAACAATTCGAAAGAGAAAAAGGCAAGAGGCAGGAATCTGTTAGTCATCTTTTTAAAACTCTTGTTTACTATGGTAAACTGTAAAATAACTTCACTGGACATAACTATTCAGAAAACATATTGAGGACTAAGGGAAACTAGGTTGAATTATTGATTGTTCTGTATCAATGTAAAGGAAATAAGAATTTAAATTTAAAAGTAAAGCTCTAGATACCACTGAACAGTTTTAAAATGATAATAATTAATCTACCAACAGATTCATTTTACAAAAAGCCAGCTTTATATGGAATTGTGTTCGAGGAAGGAGAGAAGTAAAAGTTTCAGCTGTTAAGGCACATACTGTTTTTGGCTAATTACTCCAGGTAAATTTTTATTTTAATTTTCACTCTGTGGACAAAACATGTGAGAACTTGGTATAACTTTATCCTTGTTTGTATGTTATCATTTAGTACATGAGAATAAGGGCCTTATATAGTCTAGAAGTTAGGCGGCACAGCTAAGAGAATCGAGCATTATTTCAGAAATATTTTGATGATGTTCTATCTTTCTAGTCTACTACTGTTTTTAGGTCCTAGGTTGTGGGTCTATGTTTATCAGAAAACCCTAGGTTTTTTATGGTAGGAAAGAACGTGTGCTTCCTATAGCATAGGAGGACTAATAAAATCAAATTTGGTGTCAAAATTATGCACCCTGTCCTTAAATTTGTGATCCAGGGGCCTAGGCTTTGCATTTGTCATATCCTTCACCATTTGCAATTATGAGGTAAAGCAGATTTAGTTAGTGGATAATTTTTTTTTACTAAAAATCTCCTCTGACTATATAAAGGCACACTAGTTTTAAATCTAAATGAATTATATTATAGCTCCATTCCCCTCAAGGAATGAAGATATGTATCAGTTTATTATTTTGCAAATTTGATTCAGCACTTTGTATCCTTGATCTTGAAGAAAATGGCCAATGATTTGCAACCACTCTTAAAATTTAGGTCTGTGCTTGGTTGTCCAAAGAGTAACAAAGGAATCAGTTGGTAAAAATGATTTTGGGCTGCCTATTCAGGATATATCTAAGCAATGAAATATGATAACTCTATTACCCATAGATAAATGTGTCAAGCTTTTTAAAGTCATGAAATTGATATACACCATGATAAAGGTAAATTAAAAGTAAGACAATATTATTTCCAGGCATAAGTCCTTATTCTGGGATAACCAAATGTATATCAGATTGTGAAAATAAATTAACTATATTTAACACTCAGGGTTTACTTGCTTTAAGATATTTGTTTATTTATTTAAGCATGCCAGTTCTATTGCTAAACCTGGAGATAGGCTTTGATTCTGGCAAAAAAAAAAAAAAAAGAAACAAAAGAACTTAAATATTTTCATGGTACATTCACAAGTGTCCTGCTCTTATCTCTAACAGAAACTACTCCATACTGAGAAAAGATCACACTTCTCCATTACTAACTGCACATAGTAACTTTTAACATCTCATATTCGTATTTAGTCCAGCATTGTTTTTAGGGTAATTTTTAGTAATTAAGCCAGCAAAAAAATCTATGTGGGCTTTAGAAAATATTATAAGTAAAAACAATAAAATTACATTAAACAGGTAGTCCATTTATTTCAATTCAGTATGGCAAGATACTTGAGGGAGGGAATAAATACGTCAGCCCTATTATAGTTTAAGTTTATAATAAACCACGTTAAAATGGGTACATTAGCTATTCTGATTTGAAACCTACTAATAAGATTCATATTTTACTACAAGAGTCAGTATTTATATATTAAAATGCTGGTACCATTTACTAATAATATAATAAAGAATGATAATTCCCACTTTATGCCTGAAGCAAATCACAGCACAAATGTCAGACTCATATAAGTGAACTTTTTAGAATAGATTTTTGGCTCTTTTTAGAAACGGATAACTCTAGTGTCATTTATTGTGTTATTTTCCCTTTCACATTTGAGTACCCTTCAAATCTCTGCTTTAATATATAAAAGAAATTCTAAGTCTGAAATATAAAGTAAAAATAAATTTTTCTTTTCTAATAGGATAAAATTATTATCTAAAAACCATTAGATAGATTAACCATTTACTTTCTGCCTTTTATATCCTTTATTACAACAATGCATTAGTAACAACTATAATAAAATTTTTGTAGAAATATATATAACATTCATATTAATATCAAATGAATCCATTATGATTGGCATTATTTTGAAGAATACTAATTAGCTTCACAAGGCTAAGCTATTCAATTTAATAGTACATTTAATTAATGCTGAACTACAGTGAAATTCTCATGAGACTAAATATGATAGTCACATGATATCAAATATATTAATACTGATCAGTGCCTTGACCATAAATATGAACACTTAAAATTTTTTATCATCAAGTATCAAAAAGTTAATAACAAGATTTTGCATTATGTTTCAAATTATTAAAAACCCATGACAATATTAGTAAACATGGGATATGTCAATATTTTACATAATTTAGTAATCCAAATTCATATGCCCTTTTCTAACAATAACAATGATGACAATGAAGATGATGATGATGATGAAGATGATGGTGATAATGAAGTATAGTTCATATACACTGACTAGCTACTACGTTCCAGCAACTGTTCTAAGCTCTAGGTACTTTCTGCAACTGAACTCATTTATGAGAAATAATTCTAGAACTCTCTACCTAACTTATATACAATTAAAAAAATAATGTGATGCTCCTTTGCAAGAAAGGAAGACCATTAACTATTTGTGAAAAGATATTTAACAGCTAGCTGTACCTGGGATTAAAGACGCCTTGGCATCATCATTCATATCATCATAGTAGATAAATGTTCATTTTCATTCAGAAAAATATTTTTATCCAAGAAATACCCGAACTGATATTATATTTCTCTTATATGGCAAAGAAAAAACATTTTTATAAATTACAACAGCGATATACTTTATATTTACATGTGATTTTTATTTGTGCATTTAAAAAAATCTAAATATAACTATATCCACATAACTTATTAAGAGGTAGGTCAGGGCTGGGCGTGGTGGCTCACGCCTGTAATCCCAGCACTTTGGGAGGCCAAGGTGGGAGGATGACGATGTCAGGAGTTCAAGACCAGCCTGACCAACATGGTGAAACCCTGTCTCCACTAAAAATACAAAAATTAGCTGGGCGTGGTGGCGCGTGCCTGTAATCCCAGCTCCTCTGGAGGCAGAGGCAGGAGAATCGCTTGAACCCGGGAGGCGGAGGTTGTAGTGAGCTGAGATCATGCCATTGCTCTCCAGCTCTGGGCAACAAAGCACGACTCTGTCTAGGGGAAAAACAAAACAAAACAAACAAACAAACGAACAGAGGTAGGTCAGGATGAAAAGGCATCAACACTGTGTTAATCATCATCTTTTAACCTATATTATCCAACTCCTCTCCCACACCACTCAGCACCTAACTTTGAAAGATTACTTTATTTCCAACTTAGAGTGTGACTAACATATGCTTTCTCACCTCTACTCATCCATTCATATCTCCCACCCTCTCTTTCTCCCTTTTTTTCCTCAGTCAGAAGAGGATACACCTGTACTTCTTTCCAGGGATAACATAGCCATCTTACATGATGTGCAGGGTTTTAGTCCATGGATGAACCAACACTCTCTTCTTGATTTTTCTATCTGTTCCTCTAAAACTTCTTTTGCTTAATTTGAGGTATGAATCAGTTTTTTCTCTCCTTAAGTATTTTTTCTTCAGTTTTTTCTCTCCTTTTCACAACCATGCTACCCTATAAAGATACTATCCTTCTACTTTCTCCTAAATTCTGCCAAGCTGTCAATCCAAACCTCCACAGTCACACCAATGGAGTAATAATGAGCTCATCTCTTCACTCTCCTCAAACTTTCTACAGTACTTAAACTGATGCTTAACTTCTCTTTTTTCACTTTACTTCTTTGACTTTCATAATGTTGCATCCCATGGAAATTTCCTCCTATTTCTCTGAATACTACTTGGTTTCTCCTCATATTTGTTCCCCATATCACCTTTTAAAGTTACATTTCAGAAAATTTAGCAATAAGCTCTCATTTCTTACCTCACAATGTCCTATTTCATAATCTTATCCACTCCCAAAATATCATCATATCCCCTTAGGGCAGAATTTTCAAACCCTAAAGCTTAGCCCTGACTTCTCTCCCAAATTCCATGTCTTCATGTGCAGCTGATTCTTCAGCATCTCCACAAGAGTGTTTTACAAGCCCATTAAATTTAACATCTATGATACATGATTATGTTTTCAAACTTCAAATCTACCAGTTACTATAAGCAGTATCAAAACAAAAATGTCCCACTATTCTGTCTTCTTTCTCTTTATTGATGCCATTAACAATCCTTCAATTATACAGGCCTAATATTTGAGAATCATATTTGATTCTTCCTATTCCCTTACCCACTACATGTATTAAGCTATAAAATCGTTTGATTTTTAGCCTTATTTCAATCAAATAAACAACCCACATAAAATATTCAATGGCTTCTCATTTCATAAATTCCATGTGTCATTTAGGGTTCTCCACATCCTGGGTTATATTTTCCCTTCTAGAACCATCTCTTGCCACTCCACTCTAAGTATCCTTCATCCAAATATGGTCTTCTCCCAAACTAGCTACTTATTCTTGTTTCCATACCATTACTCATATTGTTCCCTTAGCCTGAAATCCCTCCCTTTACATTTGTACATTCATTCATGAATTCATGTATTCAGTATGCATTTAGCAAGCACCTACCTATACATTTAAGATGCTGTTCTAGATGCTGGAGATATGATGATGAAGTAACCAATGGAGCCTATATTCTATCCTAATGGAGCCTATATTCTAGTGAGAAGAAAGAAATTAGGTAAGCAAACATAACAAAATGTCAGGTATGAAAAATAAAACAAAATAATGGGATAGAGGTCCCTATGATCCAACACTCACAGAAGTTTTCCCTGAAAGGAGTGACATGTGACCAGATGCCTGTAGTCTGAATGATACGAGAGAGCTAGCCACATCATATTGGGATCTATGTAATAGTAAGCACAAAGGCCCATGATAGGAGCATGTGTGAGGTATACAAGGAATAGCAAGGAGACTATTGTGGCCAATGCACCTTGAATGAGGGGTTTCTAAAAATGGTGAGAAATGAGGCCAGAGTAAGTAGAGGTCAATCCCCCAATCATATGGACTATAGTAAATAAATGGGTTTTATTCTAAGTGTGATAGAAACTGTTTGGAGGATTGAGAGCAGAAAAGTGGTATGATTTTATTTATTTTTTTAGAAGGATTACATTGCAGCTGTATACAGATGGTGGGGTTGATGGAAAGAGTGAATACAGGAGATGAATTAGGAGGCTAAGGACTAGTCTAACTAAGAAATTATGGTGACTTAAACTGCAGATATTGGGGAAGAAGTGGTATGAAATAAGCAAATTAAAGATTACTTTGGAAGATAGTAATAAGTATATTTACTAATGAGTTGGATGTGGGAAAAGAGAGAATGACAGTAATCCAGGATAACTCCCAAGTTTGGGGCCTGAACAGCAGGGTGGATTACGGCATGTTCCATTTTCTGTATAAGAAACCTTGGATAAATGGAAAATTTGATGAGGAATCAAAAGGTCTATTTTGGACATGTTAACTGAAATAGGCATTAGACAGCAAAATGGAATTTTCTAGTAATCCCTTAGTTATGAGGCTTGAGTTAAACAGAAAGCTCAAGGCTGGAGATAATAATCTGAGTCACCGGATTTTTTTTTGGTGACATTTGGAGTCATGGAACTGGATGAGATCACCCTATTCACTGTTGTTCAATCATGTCACACATTTAATTCACTGGGGGAGCTTTAAAATAAAATACTGATGCCCTCCCATCCCCATCTGAATCTAAATCTGAGCAGAGGGGTCAGAGTAATGCTAAATTTTAAAATATTTTCTGGTCATTCTCATGTGCAATCACACTTAAGAACAACTGACCTATTGAAATGTGTGGATAGAAGTCTCAGTACTCGACTCTGGGACATAGTAAAATTCAAAGATGGGTAAAAGCAGATTATAACAAAGGAAGCTGGAAACAAGTGGGCACCAAAGCATGGGGAAAATCAGGAGAGTAGCATGGTGTCTCATAAGCTAAGAAAAGAAAGTGTTTTAAGAAGGAGGGCAGATAAATTCTATCAAATGCCACTGAAAGTTCAGTGAAGGGGAAGACTGAGAGTTGACCACTGGATTTGATAACATGAAGGTAGCTATGACAAGTGGGTTTAGACCATAGATGGGGATGAAAGAGTGATAGCACGCATTCAAGAGAGTAGAGGAGGGGAAGGAAAGAGTGCAAGTTAACAGCAACTCTTTGCCATATGCATTTGTCAGTGCTTTGTCTATTTTCAAAGCCTAGTTAAAAGGCTGAGCAGCCTCCTCCAAACTCACCAGCTGGAGGCAATCTCTCTATTGTACAATTTCCACTTGCCCTTATCTCTGAGATGTCAACTTGAACTATCACTCTAGTTATTTATGCACATCTTAGCTTTTTGTGGAGAAGTATCACGTTTAATTATACTTTCTATGCCCTACAGTGATAGAATAATAGGTTCTCAGTAGTTGTTAGGTCAAAATTTGGGAAAGAAAAAGCTTTGAAATATGCTGAAAAAGCAATGAATATTACTGAGGTGCTAAGTGAGCAGAGCTCTAATGTCATATGTCAGAAAGGGAAGATGTTAAAATTCACTGGCTATTTCAAGTAAATGTAAAGTATTGGGAGAGAAAGAGGACAGAAATAAAGTGTCGGGGAAAAAGTTTCTTTATATCTCTATTACTGTTTTCAATATTGAGCACTATGAGGTACTAAATGGCAGTTTTGTGACAAGGCACTGACCCATGTGTAGATGACAACAAACTATGCCTTCTACTTTTTCTCATGCATAGTGGCCAGGCCTCACTTGAACCACCAGCTCTGCCTACAACAAGGTAATCTCTCAGGAAATGCTGGAGTTGTTTTTAAAAACTGCAAGGTCATAATTTTTGTTTCTTTGTGTTTTTTAAAATATTATACATCTGACCACGTAGGAAAGTTTTATAAAATCTGCCTAAATTAGTTAGTGAAAAATAGCAACCTGGAGGACATGGAGATCTTTATAAATATATATCCAGTCACGACAACATGAGGGGTATTCGTGTTTGCAGTGGCTTTGAATATCCCAGAAGCGTCAGTATTTACATAATTTTCTCTTTTAGTTGTCTTTGGTATATATCCATTCATTTCACCCAAGAGCAATTTTTAACTTAAACCTTTTGTAAGTTAAATGTGTTTCAAATATATGAAACATACATACATAGTAAGAGACCATGAGTAGATTTTTATTTTTAAAAGACTTATAGGACTTGATTACCTGTCTCAACCCCTTGAAGTTCTAAGCCCCCCATATTTCTGAGTATAGCTGCCTGAGCTGTCATCTCTGAACATCCTCTCCCCAATCAACCATCTTCCTCTAGATTGATAAATAACCACCAATGTGTAAAGCAAACATGATATCCTCTATTTTCCACTTTAAAAAATGAGTTACATGAAAACTGAGCCAGAAAAAAATTTTGGGGGGGCTGTGCAAAAAATTAAGAATGCATGTTTTATGAAAGAGGTCCCCAAATAAGAAAGTAACTGCTAATTAAAACTAGAAATGAAATTTGAATGTTCTTTCTCTAAAGAAAGATAAATATATACTACTTATTTCAATGTATGTTTATTTGGGAGGGTATGTTGAATCCTGTCAATGTTTAAGAACTGTATTTCCTGAATCAGATACAGGAATTTGCTTTCTGATATTTGTTAGAATTGGCGATAAAATTAGTTATTGCACAAAGTGGCATTTAACACAACAAGTGAGGAATAAAGTAAAAATTATTACTAGTTAGGAAAAAATTTCAAAGCTTAGACACATCTCTATCATAAAAGATAGAGCTATTCCTAACAACAGAAAACACCCACAAAGCACATAGAAATGTTACATTTAAGTGCTTTTTTTCCTAGAAAAACATTCATATGAAATAGGAAATCTGGATATTAGCCCTTTGTCAGATGGGTAGATTGCAAAAATTTTCTTCCATTTTGTTGGTCACCTGTTTACTCTGATGATAGTTTTTTTGTTGTGCAGAAGGGCTAATATCCAGAATCAACAAGGAACTTAAACAAATTTACAAGAAAAACACAACCCCAAAAGAAAGTGGGCAAAGGATATGAACAGACACATCTCAAAAGAAGACATTTATGCAGCCAGCAAACATATGAAAAAAAGTTCATCATCACTGGTCATTAGAGAAATGCAAATCAAAACCACTATGAGATACCATCTCTTGCCAGTTAGAATGGCAATCATTAAAAAGTCAGGAAACAACAGATGCTGGAGAGGATGTGGAGAAATAGGAACACTTTTACACTGATGGTGGGAGTGTAAATTAGTTTGACCATTGTGGAAGACAGTGTGGCGATTCCTCAAGGATCTAGAACTAGAAATACCATTTGACCCAGCAATTCCATAACTGGGTATGTACCCAAAGGATTATAAATCATTCTACTATAAACACACATGTACATGTATGTTTATTGCTGCACTATTCACAATAGCAAAGACTTGGAACCAACTCAAATGCCCATCAATCTTAAGACTGGTTAAAGAAAATGTGGCACATATACACCATAGAATCAGCCGTAAAAAAAAAATTAGTTCATGTCCTTTGCCGGGGCATGGATGAAACTGGAAACCATCATCCTCAGCAAACTAATACAGGAACAGAAAACCAAACACTGCATGTTCTCACTCATCAGTGGGAGTTGAACAATGAGAACTCATGGGCACAGGGAGGGGAACATCACACAGTGAGGCCTGTCGGGGGATGGGGGGTTAGGGGAGGGATAGCATTAGGAGAAATACCTAATGTAGATGATGGGCTGATGGGTGCAGCAAACCACCATGGCACATGTATACCTGTGTAACAAATCTGCACATTCTGCACGTGTATCCCAGGACTTAAAGTATAATAAAAAAAGAAAGAGAAGAAAGAAAGAAAGAAAGAAAGAAAGAAAGAAAGAAAGAAAGAAAGAAGGAAAGAAAGAAAGAAAGAAAGAAAGGAAAGAAAGAAAGAAAGAGAAAGGAAGGAAGAGAAAGGAAGGAAGAGAAAGGAAGGAAGAGAAAGGAAGGAAGAGAAAGGAAGGAAGAGAAAGGAAGGAAGAGAAAGGAAGGAAGAGAAAGGAAGGAAGGAAGGAAGCAAGGAAGGAAGGAAGGAAGGAAGGAAGAAAAAGAAAGAAAGAAAAGGACATCTGAGGCCGCTGTCGCAAACTACAATATAAATATAAATCAGTGCCTCACAAACATCTTTAAAGTTTTTTCTTCATTGATCATCTCTACATGTGAGTTTTTTCCATAATAATGAAGAATCACTAGTATATGCTGGAAAGCACTTACTTTTAGCCTAGTCTAGCCTCAAAAATCAATAAGGAATCCCCATAAAGCAACTTTGAAAGGTGGTTTTCATGCACTAACTTCTTGAAGCTTCCCAATGATGTGAAGTTCATTACTTAGGCAGTTCAATCCATTTTTTTTTAAGTAAAACTCTCTTTTTTTCTTTTTTTTTTTTTTACCTTAAGTTCTGGGATACATGTGCTGAATGTGCAGATTTGTTATGTAGGTATACATGTGACATAGTGGTTTGCTGCACCTATCAACCCATCATCTAGGTTTTAAGCCCCGCATGCATTAGGTATTTGTTCTAATGCTCTCCCTCCCTCCCTCCACTTTCCCCCCAACCCCTGACAGGCCCAGTGTGTGATGCTCCCCACCCTGTGTCCATGTGTTCTCATTGTTCATCTCCCACTGATGAGTGAGAACATGTGGTGTCTGATTTTTCTGTTCCTGTGTTAGTTTGCTGGGGATGATGGTTTCCAGCTTCATCCATGTCTCTGCAAAGACATGAACTAATTCTTTTTTATGGCTGCATAGTATTCCATGGAGTATATGTACCACATTTTCTTTATCCAGTCTATCATTGATGGACATTTGGGTTGGTTCTAAGTCTTTGCTATTGTAAATAGTGCTGCAATAAACATACTTGTGCATGTATCTTTATAGTAGAATGATTTATAATTCTTTGGGTATATACCCTGTAATGGGATTGCTGGGTCAAATGGTATTTCTAGCTCTAGATCCTTGAGGAATCACCACACTGTCTTCCACAATGGTTGAACTAATTTACACTCCCACCATCAGTGTAAAAGCGTTCCTATTTCTCCACATCCTCTCCAGCATCTGTTGTTTCCTGACTTTTTAATGATCTCCATTCTAACTGGCATGAGATGGTATCTCATTGTGGTTTTGATTTGCATTTATCTAATGTCCAGTGATGATGAGCTTTTTTTCATATGCTTGTTGGCTACATAAATGTCTTCTTTTAAGAAGTGTCCGTTCATATCCTTCACCCACTATTTGATGGGGTTGGTTTTTTTTCTTGCAAATTTGTGTAAGTTCTTCTTAGACTCTGGATGTTAGACCTTTGTCAGATATACACTTCAGATAAGTGGTATATGTAAGGAGGAAACTTAATATTACATTTAAATATGCGGTTTAAAATTGTTCCAAGGTATTTTAAATGGGACCAAATATTTACTAAATGCCTTTTAAAGTTGATTAAGTTTTCCAGCTTCAAAATAATAAAATAATAAAACTGTCAAGTGGAACCTAAAGCCTGTGGAAAAATCAGGTGTTTCAATTTCTGACTGTAATTAATTAAACATTGGTTTTAAAAAACTAAGTTAATTGATTACATATTGTTTTCAGAATATAAAAGCCATCCTGAAGGTTTGTTCATGAACATGTATACACATGCAAAAAAAAAAAAAAAGCCTCACATTTTGTAGCTCATTAGTAGGGTAGTTTGAGGGCAACAACTATTTTTTCTCATAGTTTCTAGGCCAATAAAATCCTGCTTGATGTTCAATGTCTTCCTCCTTTTTGATGCTAAATGAATGAATGAATGAATGAATGAATGAATGAAGTTCCTAGGAAATTAGCTGGCAAGCTCTTCAGTATGGTGCTACTGTGTCCTACACAACTGCTTCCCCTCTTCCTTCTCTGAATTGGGAAGAGAGGTATTTTTTCTTTACTCTCCCCTACATCAATGGGCCACATCTAGGATGAATTAGGAGAAGTGGTTTCTGATCAGTACCTTGGTTTGTTTTGTTTTGTTTTGTTTTGTTTTGTTTTGTTTTTGTTTTGTCTTATTTTTTTTTTTTTAGAAGAGGTCTTGCTCTGTCACCCGGCCTGGGGGCAGTGGCGAGATAGTAGCTCACTGCAGCCTCAAACTTCTGGCCTCATGCTATCCTCCCATCTCAGCCTTCCAAGTAGCTGGAATTACAAGCTTGAGCCACTGTGCCCAGCAAGGATGCTACTTCTTTTAATGCAGTGTATGACTGGGGCAGATAGGCTGGAGCTTTAGGAATTGTCAAACATTTTGTAGCTTATATTCTGAGAGTCATAACTGCAATTCACATAATTCTATATGGAAATGTACTCATAAGTAACCAAGCTAAAGTTCTAATAGGTCACAGTTCCCATGTGACCTTAGATCTTGCTTCTTTCACCCAAAATTACTGCTTATCATGACAAGTGACTGTCTGGTCTATGTCCTGGGTCTGAGAAAATACTTTTGCTTTCTCTCACATAAAACAGTGATCATTTCGTATCTTGTAACTTCTAAAATTATCTTTCTGTTTCCTCTTATACACAGGACTTTGGCTAAGTTTTATTTTTATAGGAGCCAAGGCCTTTTTCTAAATATTTGTTAACTTTGTCCCCTAAAACCTGTCTGAAAAAGGTTCTTGGGACAAGTGCCCTTGGAAAAAATTACATGTGTTTATTCTTTAAAATAACAATTTATTTAGCTTTATCCAAAGTGAAAACATACAAAAATAACTGATTTTGCATGCTTGTAAATTACATTAATGTCCAATTGACTGGAAAAGCAATAGGCCACCTTAAAATTATACAAATATTTAAAAATTGCACATCTATACTAACTATAAATATGACAGTTTCAATACTATATCTGAAAACTTTTCAGTCTTTGATATAGTTATTGATTAAAAATTACTAAAATACTGATAGAAGCTGTTTTCTTTTATCTCCTAACTACTTTCCATCCCTTCTGCTATAAAGCATGATGGTGGTTATCTTAGCACTGTCAAAATAATGCAGAGTATAGATATTATGTGATTCTAATAATAATATAAAATAGTCTGAGTAACTTATTTGGATGATAATATTTTTGAATCTTTATGTAATTGTACTCTTCACCAAATATGAGACTGATTTTCTTGCAAGGTCAATTAAATATGCAATTAAAAGCTACTCTCTCATGTCTTCTTCCCATGGTTGTCAGTGCAAATTCTCCAGGGTCATCATCCCTCCACAGATCTGAGTCATTCATGCAAACTGCATTCCAAATGGCTTTAAAATATTAAAAGTTCCATTTTACAATTTCTTCTGCTCAGTGATCAGTGTGGTGAATCTCCTTCATCTTGATAAAGGTCATAAAGGTTTATTTTATTATTATTCTTTAAAGTGCCTGATTTTGCGGGTTGTGAAAGAAAGAGTGAAGGAAAGAGACAATTATAGGAAAAAAAAGAAAGAAAGAAAGTACAATTAGCATCAGGAACATGGCAGGACAATATTCATGAAGAATTTAACAAAGTTCCCCTATTACAGATATTTCTTTTTACCCTTTAACTCTTACTTAATCAGATAGCCATTATGTTTGACTCAGCAGAAATGGAGAGGGGGGACATAAAAATAATCAAATGTTGGTTTTTGAATTTCAAACATTTAGGTTTAGAGGAATAGGGATAATTTGGATTCAGAATCAATATATTTAGAAGAAGTTATGATCAGCAGAAAAATCTGAAAAGCTTCCCTCCTCCCTTCTCAGCTCTCCAAAGTAAAAAGAAATTCCTTGATTTAGGGGAGAGGAATGATAGAGGAAATAATGAAGAGTGAAAAAGGTTTGTGAGGCATTAGAATATAGAATGACAGGATCCAACTTGGAATGAACCTAAGGGGTGATTCATTTGTCTTACTGTTGGTACCTGATGAAGATTTTTTTAAATCTCACTTTAATAGCAGACAGTTTATTTCCTACAAATCAACATGAAAATGTCCAGCAGGTGTGATGTTAGTCAGGCTACCTCTAGATTCGCTCAATTCACATTCAGTGTAGCCTCTCAGGACAGGCCTCTTTTTTTTCATCTAAAGACACTCATAAGACCTTACATGTAGAGTGGGACCCCAGTCACCTAGAGAAGTGAGTGTAAAAGGAAGAGCTTCTTGCATATGGACTTGAGTGGGACCAAACAGAATCATCTCAATAACTTTCCCTGGTCAGAACAGGTGCATCCCAGTGAGATGGAAAGGCTCTTTTTGGTCACTCACATCCTAAGAACCTGAGTTTGCATTGCAGAAAACTTATATACAAGAGTTGAGAATGTCCTTCTCACCCTTTTAGCATAACTCAAGATGTGAATACATTGTACAAGAAGCCATGAGAGATGAAGTCAAGCGATTTTTTTATCTAGACTGTCCTTGTGGACATGTGCAGTTCAGGGCTGGATGTATCCATAGAATATTAGCTCACTCATCAATTTTGTGTAAAATATACCATCACCCTAGAAGCTACAAACAGAAAGGAAAATGGAGCTCTGCAATGCATTTCTTCGCCCCAGCTTGGTGTTGTTTCTCCAGAAACACTTGTTACACTAACTTAGGTGCTATTATATTATTAGAGATTGCACCTCAGGGAACAGGAGTGAAAGAAGGGGACATAATGAGGGGAAAAGGAAGAGAAAAGCAATTCAATTCTGCATTTCTAACTGGACAAGTGCTTGGTATCATGCACTACTGACTGAGCCATCTCATGGGACCAACTTCCAAGGTGGCATATGAACAACTGCGTCTCAAGACAACCCATCTGGAAGGAGGGTGGGAGGCTTTACTGCTGGCTCCAGGTTCCCAGTTCTTACTGCTCCAAGGTTTGCTCCATTATTCTGCTGGATTGCATTCACATTGGAACTAAGCATGCCTTGCAACATCTTATGTCTCAGTGCCAAAGAGGAATGCCTCTAGAGAAGTGTTACATAAGAAAAGTTGCTAGTTTGTGCATATGTGAAGCTGGCTAGAGTCCATGCTGAGGTGGTAGACACAGCAGCATCTGGACAAGATCAGGTGCCCAAAAGCTTGAGACACAAAGCCAAGAGGTTCTGAAGAGGCATGTGAGATGTATTTGATATAACCTCTCCCATCCCCATTCCCAGCCAAGGGAGACCCTACTTGGAATAGGAAACCCCATCTAAGTAGCTGGAAATTAGATATCCATATACAACCATGGAGAAAATATCCCCCTTGTTTTTAAGTGAAACAGTAATTGAAAGATGAGCTATTTTTCAGAACGTGAACATGGACAAGGCAGGGGGGAGGAAGATGTGGATAGATGGTCAAGGTCAAAGTCTGAAAAATGCATTAGATTAGTAAAATCTCTGCTAGGCTAAGCAATTGAGGTTTTGGGCATTTTCAAGGAAAACCCACCGCTGATAACAGTGGCAGGATATCTGAGTTAAGTTGGGAAATATCATGGACCAGTAGAGAGATGAGGGAATATCAATTAGCTTCTTTAACATTCTCCATAAGATTGAACAAAGTAGTGACTATACTTGTGCTAAGATTGTACAGAATTTGGTGCAGAAAGCTCTCGCCAGAGGGTTGTTAGAGTCAGGAATATAAATCGAACCTGCCTGCACTCTGTGTGGGAGGAATCAGCTCTAAGTAAAACCTTCCATTCTAAGGTTAATCAGGCAAATTCAGTAAAGCTATAAAGAGTAACTGATAGTTGGAAAAGGTAACACATGTCTCTCAGATACCAGCAGTTCAAGGAATTGGGTAAAGGAGGGAAATAACCCAGTAGCAGTCTTAAGTTAATACATCTACTGTATTTGCACTCTGAATGAAATAAAATTTATTTTCAAGCACTTGAAGAAATGTACACAAGCACAAGTAAAAGCACAATTAAAGTTCCAGATTTCCCCAAAACCACAATACAAAAGTGACAAAACATACAGTAAAATTTTTTAAAATCAGTGACAAAAAGGTAATGTACATAGCACACTAATTCAAATATCTCAAAAAACAAATGCACAATTTTGAGTAATTTGTGGGTAAAAGTGAAACTCAAAACGGAAATTACAAAACACTCTAAATAGAAGGAAATAATTATTAAAGTAAAATAATGAAACAAAAAAGCTATAGATTTGAACAACAGATACATAAACTGTTTCTGACAAGAATAACAAAACAGACAAAACCTTGTCAAGTATAATTTCATTTTATTTATTATTTATTTATTTATTTCGAGGCAGAGTCTCGCTCTGTCGCCCAGGCTGGAGTGCAATGGCGCGATCTCGGCTCACTGCAACCTCCGCTTCCGGGGTTCACGCCATTCTCCCACCTTAGCCTCCCTAGTAGCTGGGACTACAGGCGCCCGCCACCATGCCCAGCTGATTTCTTTTTGTATTTTTAGTAGAGATGGGGTTTCACTGTGTTAGCCAGGATGGTCTCCATCTCCTGACCTCTTGATCCGCCTGCCTCGGCCTCCCAAAGTGCTGGGATTACAGGCATAAGCCACCGCGCCTGTCCTGTAATTTTATTTTTAAAGCGAAGAAAGCCCTTAATAAACAGCATCAGTAATAAAAGTGGGCAAATAATTTAGTAATATATTACTTAACATTAAATAAAGTTAAAAATAATAACATATAATGAACAACGTTTTAGGAATTAATATGAAAATCTGTATAACATGAAAAAATCCTAAGGAAATATAAACCAGCAAGGTGGACCATCAAGAAGAAAACCATAAAATAAAAGAAAGAGTAGTGAAATTTCTTCAACCACAAAGATATCAAACCAACTAAACGTTTTTTAAAAGAAGCTAATTTAAATTGAACAAAAACTGTTCTAATATACAGAAAAGAAGATAGATAATTCCTCAATTATTTTATGAGTTTAGCAATAAATATGACAGAAAAGCACAAGAAAGTAAAAATGTATGTTAATCACACTTATAAGCATAGAAATGATTTCATGGCAACTCCAGCCTCAAACACCAGAATGTTCACACTGGCGCAAGACACTATCTGTTCAGCGAATGTGGGAAAGCTTACAGCAGATGCTCCCACTTTTTGTGGCACATAAAAGTTCACACTGGAGAAAGGCCTCATGAACATAGCAGTTTTGGTGACCATTTAGCTCTATCTTTTAAGCTCATTTAGCACACAAGAGACTTCATGCTGGCAAGAGGCCTTAAGACTGCAGGGAATGTATTGTCTCTTTGTTCAACATAGCATAACTCAAAAAAGAGAAAAAGCTTTGAGAATAGCCTTTGTGAGGGAGCTAAACACCAGAAGTTGAACTTTGTACATCTGGGTATCTACAATGGGGGAATCACCTATAAGTGCCAGGTATGTGGGAAGCATTCAGGAGCTATGCTGCATTTTCTAACCTTCCCAGGCCCCTTACCTGAGTTATGTCATTGCCAGTGTCTGCTGCAGAAACCATTCTACTTCTACTAGCAGTCAGGTAGTGTGTGACAATCACCCCAGTATGCTCAGAGCAAAGACCTCTCTGCTCTTTTTTATTCCTTGAGGGAATTATGAGTGATCTGAACACACTAGGAGGTCCTCATTCCCTCTGCCCTGATGGTTTCAGTGTGGACATGACCAAGCTCCTGCTAAAAATGCATGAGCTGAGATTTGCTGCAAGTTTCCAAAGATTTCCCTTCTTCGTGGAAAATATTGACTCTCTATGTGATAGCTGAGATAGATTTCTCCAGCCTCCAAATCACTAAGCCTTGGAACTTCCTAACCTAACTAATCTGATTTGTGCAATGACTTGTACAACGATTTTTACCTTATTGATTAAGGCTTTCCTCTTTTGTGTTCACTGTGTGGGACTGATTGAGAAAAGAATCAGGCTTTGCCAGCATGAAGGGAGGAACATCTTTTACGGGGGCTCCAAACTTTATGTGCTTTAGAGAGAACAGCTCACAGTCTAATTTGACCTAGTTGGCAATGCTGCCCAAGCCCTTTTAGGAAAAACTATAGAGCTTTGTGGAGCTAATCTTGTTACATGGCTACCTCTTAAGAGCCCTAAGTTCACCCCCAATAAAGAGAGAGTTTTTATGACAACCTACAGTACATCTGGGGACAACATGAGTTTAGTCCCTTTTCCCCAGGGGATGGTTAACATCCTCCAACACTATTGAAGTGTAGCTGTCTCCTAAGACCTACCCAGAAGTCACAGTTCCTGAAGTCCAAAATCTGGCAGGAAGATAAGACCTATAGGGACTACGGGGTAAATATAGTTGATACATTTCTTGTACTATGTAGAATGTTGTCATCTTTCCTGACATTCAAACTTATAAAGGTTAAATATACACAGTCTGTTTTTCTACCTTTTAAAATTTTAAGCCTTAATGCTTAGTAAGGATGACTCTGGTAAATATTGTTTCAGTTAGAAATCCTGAAATATGTTTGATTACATCTTATTTAGATAAAACATCTTTCCAAAAATAAAACTAAGCTGGGTGCAGTGGCACATGCCTGTAGTCTCAGCTACTGGGGAGGCTGAGGTGGGAGCCCAGGAGTTCCAGGCCAGTCTGGGCCTCATAATGAGACCCACGTCTCTAAAAATAAAATAGTTTTTTGTTTAATTAAAAAAATTCAAAATATTTTAAAAATCTAAAATTAAAAAAATTCAAAGTATAAAATAAAATGAATATAAATTTTTTAAAAAAAATTTTTAAAAACTTTTAAAAAATAAATAAAACTAATAAGTAAGAACCTTCATATTGATACAGTTTGAGACATTTTGCAGTCCAGGGATGGGTATTGTGTGACCCATCTAGAGTTCAGGTGGATGTGGCCTTCATTGCTCTGCAGTTTCTAAACCGAGGCAGAGATGACCCTCCCATTATATAGGAAATGGGAAATAGTTGAGTTAATATAGGGTTGGTTGATGTTCCAAGAGAAATGGAAGATTCAGATTTTTATGGGTAGCCATAACAGCTTTATTGGTGTATAATTGGAATACAATAAACTGCACATATTTAAATTGTAAAATTTGTTAAATTTTGACACATATATATACCTATGATACCATTGTCACAATTAAGGTAATGACCGTATCACCCCCAGAAGTTTTCTTATGCCTTTAATAATCTCTTTGTTTTGTCCCTCCTTGATCTCTCATCTGCATACAACCACTGATTTGTTTTTTATCACCACACATTACTTTGCATTTCTTAGAATTTTATACAAATGTAATCATACAGTGAGCGCTTATTTTTTGTCTACCATCTTTCAGTAAGCATCCTTTTTGTAGAGTTCAATCAAAGTTAAGAATATCAGTAGATATTTCTTTTTATTGCTGAGTAATATTTCACTGTGTGGATATACCACAATTGTTTATCCGTAAGTTTCTATGGACTTTTGGGTTGTCTTCAGGTTTGGGCTATTAAAAATAAAGCTGCTTTTGAAAAAAATAAAAAGGAACATTTAATGACCTCTCAGAGACAGCTGTCTTGCAAAAGAAAGACAGCTCCTCAAGACCAAACTCCACCATTCATATTGCCTCCACGTTGCCCTTAAGAGTCAGGTCCTAGTATTATTCAGGGGAGAATTTCAAGATCTGGGAAGGAGCTAGCACTTTTATCCAATGTAGTTGCAAGTTCTTACTAATCGTATAGGTAAGAAATCAGAACATATTCTGGGAATGGATTTGAAGTTTGCTGGACCAAGGAGAATAGAACATAAGGGTAAACATCAGGTAAAATTTATCCACATAGGTACACTTACTTGAGCTTTGGCTTTTACCCTGGATTGAATGGTTGCCTACATAAAAGAATTGAAATACCCCAGAATTTCCCTTGGACTTTTTTTTCTATATCTCAGAGTGATGACTCCTGCACATATATTTCCAAGTTTTCTTCTCCTCTGGCTTCCATGTAGGTTCAGCCAGAGGGAGGCACCTAAGGGAGACTGGAGGGCATGAAGTAGAGGGAATCCAGGTTTCTTCTTCTTCCTCTATGCTTCAGCTGGCTTTTCTAGCAAAGTTTGCATCTCCTTTGCTCCAGTAGCCCTTCCAGACAATTGTTCTTGTGGTTCCAACATTTACCAAGTGACCTTGGGCTCTGGAGGCCAGTAAAACCACCCTAGTACCTCTAGCCTAGGAGTGGTAACTGCTTTCTGCTGATATTAATCTGTGTTGCCCAAACTGTTACCATCAAGTGAAGAGCCAATTCTCTTAAATTCCATCTGTTTAAATGTTTCAAGAATTTTTTTAGTTTCTTTTTTTTTTTTTTTTCTGGTTGTAGTCTAACTGATACATAACCACACTGAGAGGATGGGAGAAAGAGGGTAAGTGTGTGAGTAAGCAATGAGAGTGAAATAGTCCTTAATCATGGTCTCTGCAGAAAACATCTTATTCAAAGTAGTTGAAGAGAATTTAATGAAGAGGCTATTTTTAGAGTGGAGGGCAGGGCTGAGGAATGCATTAAAAATGGAGATGCACCCAGGAACTAACAATAGTGGGAAGTTTTTCCCATCCCTTAAAAGGAGGCAAAGGGTGGAGCCGTGTTAATGGAACTAGAAAGACCTCCAACTGTGGGAAAGAATCACTGAACAAGAGATGGGGCCATAGGTAGGGGAACACAATGACCATTAAACTGTAATCTGATAGGGAAGGATCATCAGGGAGCAGGAATATATACCTGACCTCTCTCTGCTTCTGCCCTTTGATTTCCTGCCAATACCTGTCACTGCCAAAGTGAAATTAAAAGCCAAAGTTCAAGGGAAACCTGCTGATCCAGTCCATAGAAGTCATCCTCCCAGGGCATAGAACGGGGAGCTAAAGCTAAAAGCTTTAAACCCACAGTTTAAATATACTTTAAGGCCCATAGTTACTTAACCAAAATTTAAATCATCCTGAACTTCCTAAAACACTATCCTTAATCTTAAATCCAAAACAGTTTTACATCCTCATCAGCATGATTCAGTGAAATGAAGCTAATCAGCTATAGAGAAATCAGCTTAATCAGCTTTGTTTGCTAAAAAGAATGTTAACATATAACAGCCAATCATGAAAAAGGCCAAAATACTTCATCCTTTATGTTTTATAAACTGTGCTGTGAAGTGGGCTTCTTACTGCTCTTGGTTTGAGGAGTCCTGGTTTGCAAACTGTCCTTTTCTACGCACAAAAAACTTTAAAATTTTTTTTAAAATTTGATCTGATGATTGTATTTTTGACAGAGTTGAAACTGATTACTTCAGAGGAGTGAAACTCGGGGGTAGGAGTGAAGTGTTTTTGTAATAAGTCATAATGAGCTATTGGAATATATATGGGTGCAATGTATTATATATAATGTAATGTAATATAATTAAAAATATTTTCTTAGAACAAAGAAAAGTGAAAACTCTTTGGTGTAAGTATATAGGAAGGATTTGAGGGTCAAAGACTATTTGAATATATTTCTGTGCCTATGTGGGTGTGTTTACAGACTGAAAAGAAGAAATAGGAAGCTGGAGAAATGGGGAACATTTTTGAAAGATGAGAGATGAAACTCAAGGATACAGGAGAAAATGACATCAAGAGCACAAGTAGAGGGCTAACACTTTTTCCTCCAAGAGTAGCTGAAAGGAGGTAAAAATTAATATTAATGCAGGCTATGGGTAATTGGAAGCCAATCGTTGAGAAAAATCATATCTGAGCATGACCATTTATTGATAAAACAGATGTTATATTCATCAGCTGAGAGTGGAGAGAAATGGTAGAATGAGATGTAAGGACAGCAAATAAATTGTCCACTAGCTGAGAGCAATGAGAAATAATATAGTCCAAAAAGAAACAAAAATACTCCTGGTTCTACTCTGGTTGCAAATGCATTCGAGAATATGAATTTATCCTGTCCATAGGGTTATGCTATTTTTCTGCAACCGGGTTTAGTAAACAATATAGGAGTGGTAAGAGAAGAGTATTGTATTGTTTATAGAGATAAGATTTTGTCAGTTTGGTGTGGTAAAAAGACAATAGTTTAAAGTTGTTGAGAAAATTATTCGCATATAGTGCAGGTAATCAACAGAGGTAGCTAAGAGGAGAGAGAAAGGTAATGAGCAGGCTTATATCTTGGAAGAAAGCAGAGCAATCAGTAGCTGGGGTTTCTATATGGTTGAAGATAATTGCACTTGTCTGAGTGTATAAGAAGGTAAGATATTGCATTGAAATGGTGGGGAATTTGAATTTAAGAAACAGAGCAGTCATGAGCACTGACAAATCTTGAATGAGATATCAATTTCAATAGACAAAATGGCTGAATTTAAGAAAGACAGGGAAGTACAAAGGCAGGGTGCCTGACATATCAACCAATGGCATACTGAACCTGGCTAAGATTATGGTCAGGGGAGCTGAAACCTCAGAGAATAAATTAGGACAACTAGGAGATTGATCAATTACAATAAGAAGTTGATAGTCCTTTAGCCCAATGTCATGGTCCTCAAAGAAAGGATCTTTATAATTGACACAGTTTGGAGGTAGAATTAGCATATTATTTATCTTTCAAAATGGAAAACTTTTCACAATGTTTTCATTCCCTGTGGCTGCTGTAACAAATTACCAAACTTGGTTTGCTTAAAATAACATAAATTTGTTCTCTCACAGTTCTGGAGGCCAGAAGTCCTACATCAGTTTCACTGTGCTGAAACCAAGGTGCCAGCTAGGCCATGCTCCCTCCAGAGTCTAAAAGAGACTCTAATCCTTGCATCTTTCCAGTTTCTGATAGTTGCCAACATTCCTTGTCATGTGGCTGCATAACTCCAATCTCTGCCTCCATGATCACATCACTTTCTCCTCCTTTGTGTCTGTCAAATTTTTTTTCTGCCTCTGTATTGAGGGTACATGAGATTAAGAATACTCAGTAATAGGGATTACTCAGATAATCAGGATTATCCTTCCCATCTCAAAGTGGTTCACCTAATCACATCTGCAAAGACTTTGGTCCCCCTGCATGTAAGTTAACGTTCACAAGTTCCAAGGATTAATATGTGGATAACTTTTTTTTCAGGCTATCACAGGTAGCAAAAAGGAGCATTGTGAGTAATTATATAACAGCAACAGGTGCAAACCAGGACTGTCCCAGGCAAAACGGACTATATGGTCACCTTATTTGGAGGCAGACTTGGGAGCTTGAGATTTCTGAAATGTTCTTTCATAAGTAACCATGAGACCAGAAGCGTGGACATTGTTCACTGTCCATTGAAGGAGGCGGGTTACAGAGGAAGCAATTATCCTTGAGATAGAGTCAGAAAACTGCTGGTGCACACAACACCTCTCTGCGCATCCTTGTGGATACAGCCCAGCATCAGGGTATAGGGATTTGGCAACTGTATGGTGAGCAGTTTTAACAACCATATGCAACAGCCTTGGATAGATACCAGTTCTATGGAAGATAAGGTACAGAAAGTGTAAAGAAGTTTGGAATTCAAAGAGGTTAAATTAAAATCACTGATAGATGCAGATACACAAAGTGCACTGGAAATAGCTGATTTTGAAATTCCTAATTGACATTTGTTATAAAGTTTAGGCACCATAGAATTTTCTTCATGACCAGTGGATACTAAGACTTCTAATGCAATCTTTTCTCAGTGTTCCTGCTGGCTGCTTCTTCCTCCCTTATCTCAGTTTCTTAACTGTCCGTAGGGGATCACAACTTGGTATCAGCTATTATCTCTTCCTGAGAGGAAACATTAGCATCTTACTTTTTGTTTGTTTGTTTGTTTGTTTGAGACGGAGTTTCGCTCTTGTTGCCCAAGCTGGAGTGCAATGGCGCAATCTTGGCTCACCACAACCTCTGCCTCCCAGGTTCAAGCGATTTTCCTGCCTCAGCCTTCTGAGTAGCTGGGATTACAGGCATGTGCCACCACGCCTGACTAATTTTTTGTATTTTTAGTAGAGATGGGGTTTTTCCATGTCGGTCAGGCTGGTCTCAAACTTCCGACCTCAGGTGATTCACCTGCCTCGGCCTCCCGGAGTGCTGGGATTATAGGCGTGAGCCACTGTGGCTGGCCAACATCTTACTTTTTTTAAGATTGTCTAAACACAAACCCATTAGATAATTTCAAATACTTTTTTCAACTTTGTGCAGGGCAGAAGCAATTTAAATACAAATTTCCTAAATTGGAAAACATAAATTGAAATAAGAAAGTTACATATAAGCCAAACATATCCTTCTATTTTTTCCTTTGTAAATTTTACATAAACTACTCCCTAAGGTTCAGCCAAAAATTTCTGAGAAGGATCAGTAATTTGTTTCCTTAATTAAAATGAAATGCCCTCTTTAAACAAAGTAATTTATTCAGCTCTTCTATTCAAATGAACATATTTAGTTAAAGAATAATAAGGAGTGATGGCATTATTTTGGATAAAAATCAAGTACAACTCTGAGAGATTCTATTTCAAGAATAATATATAAACTTTATTACTCTGTTGATACATAGTTAGGACAATATATAAGCATTGTTTAGAGCTGATAACTCTATTTTGTCAGTTCCAGAATGTATAAACTCTATCGTAGTTTTTTGGTTTAGTGCACACATAAATAAAAAGCAAATTAAAGACAAACTCATTTTTCTCATATGAAAATAAAAAAGAATGAAGAAATAGAGGTAACTAGATGTTTGCTCAAGTCTGCAGCAAAGGACTGCGCTACATTGAAAACATTTTTATTAGATTTTTAAACCTGTTGATTGGCAGGATATTTTTAGTATTGGTTCCCTTAGATATACACCAGGTATGCACACACATAATCCTATTCATTTCTCATATGCAAAGCCACTTAAACTCGAGTAAAAACAAACAGCTTATAATCTTATGACATTTGGAAGCAGCATGTGGAAAAAAATCACAGTGTGGATTTGGCAGTAAAATAAAATGACAGAAGTTGATTCTCTCATCTAGTCTTCTTCAGCTTGAGAGAGATCTAAATTAAGAAGGTGATAAAGAAGGTAAAATGCGCCAACAATAAACACAGCATCACAGTCCATTTTGTGTTGTTCTAACATAATACCGCAGACAGGGTAATTTATTTTAGAAAGAAATGCATTTCTTACAGTTCTGGCGGCTGGGAAGTCCAAGGTCAAGGGGCCCACATCAGTGAGGGCCTTTGTGTTCAACATCCCATGGTGGAAGGCAGACTTGCAAGAGAGCATGTAAGACAGAGGGAGAAAGGGAGCCAAACTTTTTCATCAGGAGCCTGCTCCTACGATAACTAACCCACTCTCTTGATAATGGCTTTAATCCATTCATTAGGGCAGAGCCCTGATGACCTAATCACCTCTTAAAGGTCCCACTTCTCAACACTGATACAATGGCAATTAAATTTCAGCATGAGTTTTTGAGAGGACATTCAAACCATAACACACAACCATCTATTTCAAAAGCATTCTTAAATGTGCCAGTAATTCATTTACTTATCTATTCTTCTAGCATTCTAGCATTTTTCAATACTTGTAAATTTGAAAGTTTGCCTGTGTGACAAGTTATTGACAATAAATCCAATCTCTTTTAATTTAGAAAAAAATCAAGTACACTCAAAGCATCCTGTACTTAAAACTTTGCATTTTTAAAGGTAGCACGCCATTATAAGAAGTGAAATTCTGCCTCCATGATAATGGAGTTAGAAGCCTCCAGTACAACAGTGCTAATAATAAGATGTTGAAAGCAATTTTAACCCACAAAGTCAAGCAATGACCTGTAGGATTGATTTTACTTCACTGAGGGTGTATTAATGTGTTATTTCTTTGGATCTCAGAAATAACAGATTTATCTCACTAAACAAATAATAGAGTAATTCAATTCTAGTTTTGAATTATTAAAGTATTCTGTATCCATATCATGAAATATTATTAGAATTAGATACTTGGGGATTACTTTAATGTGTCAAGTTAATTTATGTAACTCCTAACAGTATAGGTTCTATTGGCCAAATGCATTATTTTAACCTATTACTATGCAAGAATGTTTTTGTGATGATAGGGCACTTGTTTAAATTCTACTTTCTAAGATAACATTAGTGTATTATTTAACTGTTTTAGAATAAGATCAGAAGTTGATCATGTATTTCCTGCTGTTCAGGGAAAATAAGAAATAGTTTCTGTATTCACGAATGCTAACTGCAAATGAGAAGAAAAATTATGGTAGGACACAAGTTTATATCTTTAGGGAGTAGATATAATCCACCAAGTTCTTAAGGAAACACTGCTTCCTCACTTAAGTTATTATCTAAAATGGTGGAAGAAAGGTAGCTTCATTCAAACTGAATAATTATAATGAGAAAATCAAAGTAACCAGATTTATGGCCTGCTGGGGGTTATGGTTTTGAAAATACCTATTTTACCGCCATCTCTCCTTCTCCATCACCCACTCCCTTATTCTCAAACCTTCCCATTCCCTAAAAATTTCCACAAGATTATCGTTTCTATTTTATCTTCTAAATTTTGAAATACTGGTATGTAGTATTCTAATGTGTAATTAAGGGGCTTAATGTATTAAATTATTTAGTATCATGCCTCTTCTAAAATTAATTGGTTGCCTATGCCAAATAAATTTTGTAAGTTTGAAGTTTCCACAAGATTGTCATTTCTGTTTTATCATATAAATTTTGAAATTCTATAGAGTAGGATTATTATCACATATTTTCCATAGTTGCTGCTATCTAGTATGTAGTATTCTAATATGTAATTAAGGGGCTTTATGCATTAAATAATTTATTAATATCATGCCTCTTCTAAAGTTAATTGGTTGCCTATGCCAAATAA
This sequence comes from Homo sapiens, assembly GCF_000001405.40. NCBI lineage: Eukaryota > Metazoa > Chordata > Mammalia > Primates > Hominidae > Homo > Homo sapiens. The sequence continues at coordinate 34,758,919 of NC_000023.11, read as the reverse complement.
ATTTTGCAAGTTTGAAGTTCCAGGCCAAAAGGGACTGGGGTGAAGTGAATTACTCAACGTACTATATATGGGAACTGTAATTGTTATTGATTTCTAAATGGCAGCTATAATGACTATTCCGAGCTTGTCTTCTTGAAATGGTAGAGGAAATATTCAGAACAAATGTCTAATTCCTCTTTATCAATAAAATATAAGCCTGGAACTTTAGGGTTATACCTGGAGGAGTGGGGATGGACTACACAACAATAAAAACTTTAAGAAAATTTTGCACCTAGATTTATATTTAATATAATTGTTTTATCAAATCAATTCACTTTATATATAAGTACAAATGTATATATTTGTATATTCAATGTGTACTTATATACAAATACGAACATATATATGTGTGCATATTGTTCAAAACCTATATATGTGGATTGTTCTCCTAATGTAGGTTTTGTGAAGCTGTTCCTGGTTAGCCATCAGGAAATAAAACTCCAATTGAACTAGATTGAAAAAAATAATCCTCTTTACTCTGCAGAGTCCATCTCTTTACCAAAGCTTGGAAGATAATTGACATTCTGAAAAAAAAATGGACTTTTAAATAATATCATTCAATGTAAGTGTTAATGTAGTAACCACGGGACAGAAGAAACTACTAAATCCTACATAGCCTTTTTATTGCATTGCAAAATAAAAAGAGAGGACTTATGTTTGCCACTTGATATAGTCTCTTCTTTTCTATGGTATTGAAATGTAATAGAATAGCTTTTGTTGGGCTATTTTCCGCCTGTAATAGAATCTTTGATTTATAAAGGTGCTGAATCATGCATTAGCCTTGTTTCTCAGTATATACATAGGAGTTATTTCAACCAGAACTGAAGGACTACAGCCATAATAGAATGCAGTAGCTGTTTAACATCACACAATAAAACCATGCATAAAAAAGAGCAGTAAGGATTACACTTTATTGATTTAATTTCAGAACATTTACACATTACAATGGCAATCATACCAAGACATTTTCATTTCAAGGGACTCCACTGGTCCAAGTTTAATGAGATTCTATCCTCAATGGAATTGAAGGATCATACAATTTTGGAATTAGAAATTCTTTGGAGAATCTATTTGCTTTCCCCTTATATTAAGAAACCAAGGCCCAAAGAAATTAAATGGTTTGACCGAGATCACATGGCTAGTAAGTAGCAGACCCTGACAAAAGCCCAATTCTCATCCTCTTGATCTTTGTACATTGCACAATTATTAAAGAGAAAAATATCATGTAATTCAATTCTTCCTATGTTCTATAGAAAATCTGGTATTTTAAAATACATGAGGAACAAGTTATTCTTAGCAATGATGCGGCATGAAATAAAATAGATGGAAATCAATGGTATTTGTTATGCTGAAAATTCTTATAGATTTTCCAGTTTTGAATATTTGATTACATCAAGAATTTCAATATAGTGAGAGTGGATTCAGAGGCATAGGGAGCATTTCTGCTGAGTAGGAATTCTTTAAGTAATGTTCTCAATTTCCTGGGCCCTTATTTTTCTAGTATTCTAATCTCTCACCATCTTAGCTAGGCTCATCAGCATCCTAAAACCTGATGGAGAATAAGAAGGAAGGATTTTTAAGAAGATAAAAAGAGGATGAGGAAAATTGTAGCAGAATAAAACCATTAGCCAAGTATTTGTATTTTCCAAAGCAATCTATAATCACTGGAAAAACAGTAACTACAATCAAGTAAAAAGAGTGGATTTTATTATACCTAAATGAGTTTTTCAGTTACAGGCCATCTATGCTCAGCTTTGACATTAATGCTAGAGTTACCAATCACATACCATTTTTTAGCTGCAATAGATGAAAAGTCTTTGTTGCTTGGATCCCAAGCTAGTGGCACCATAAGGATGTGGCAAGGCAAAAACAAAAACAAAAACCAAACAACAACAACAACAACAACAACAAAAAACAAAACCCAAACAATCCCGTAACACAGAGAGGAAGGTAAATGACGGAGAATACTTAGCAACAAATAATTAAAAAAAAAAATCTTATCCCAAAACTCAACCCTTAAAATCTGATGTGATTGGTGGTTGACTGAACTAAGGGACTGTAAAAGCTACCTAGAAGCCAATTAAAAAGTAGTTTTCGGAAAGTGAAAGAAGAGAAGAAGAAAAGCTATATCAGGGAAAGTGGGAAAGGACTCCAACAATTTAATGGCATTTTAAATATACAAAACACTTTTAGTTGAATGTGCCCATATAAAATATAAATGTTCATTATTAAAGCATTGTTTATAATAACTTGAAAACAGCATGAATATGCATCAGTGAATGAGTGACTAAATTAATGAATACGTGACTAAATGAATAAGCAACTAAGTTAATAATTAATAAATCTACTACTCTGAAATACCACGCTTATATTGAATGTGGTATATCCAGGTGTACTGACTTGAGAAGGGATGTCCTTAACATGGAATTAAATTTTTAAAATATCAAATTACAAAATTTTTTATATATTTTGTCATTCTAATTTTTTTAATCTTTAAACTTTTTATATTTTAATTATAAATTGACAAATTATAGTTTCATATATTTATGAGATACAAAATTATGCTGTGATTTATGAATACATTGTGGAATAATTTAACTAACATATCTATCTTCAAATACTTATCTTTTTGTGGTGAGAAATTTGGAAATTTACTCAGTGATTTTGAAATATACAACACATTATTATTAGTATATTAACCATGCTGTGCAATATATCTCAAAGTAAAGAAAATAAATTGATTCTTCCATTCTCATTGAGGTTTTCTGTCCTTTGCCTATCATATCTCCATTCCTCCCTCTTTCCAGCTTCTGTAACCATTATTCAATTCTCTGCTACTTTGAGATTGTTTCACAGTCCACATAGTAAGAACATGTGGTATTTGTTTTTCGGTGCCTGGCTTATTTCACTTAGCATAATGTCCTCCAGGTTCATGCATGTTGCTGCAAATGACAGTATTTGCTTCTATTTTACAGTTGAATAGTATTTCATCATGTATATATACCACATATTATTTATCCATTCATTAGTTGATGGAAACTAAGTTGATTCTACAAGTTGGCTATTGTGAATAGTGCCACAATGAACATGGAAATGCAGGCATCTATTTGACATATCAATTTCAAATCTTTTGGGTCAATACCCAAAAGTGGGATTGCTGGATCATATGGTAATTCTATTTTTAGTCTTTTGAGGAACCTCCATACAGTTTTCCATAATGACTGTACTAATTTACACCCCCACCAATGGTGTGCAAGTTTTCCCATTTCTCCACATGTCATTCTAATTCAGTAAAACTGCTTTTAATCCCCAACCATATAAGGGTATATTTGATTTTATACATGTGCATAAAAAAGAAAAAGGGATGAAAGAAATCACACTAAATTACAAACAACAATTACATTACAGGATTGGAATTAGAGTCTAAGGGAAGGAAAGACTACAGAATTCATCTTAGACTTCCTGATAGTATCGCTGCAATGAGCGTGAATAATTTATTCAATTAAATTACTGGATTTTTAAAAATTCAGTTGCAAAAGAATAAGTTTCTAGAAGCACACACTGTTTCCTTATAAATACCCCAATACAACACATGGTAACTCTTATATAAACTATTAAAATCTAAATACTTAACCAAGATATGTAGATAGACATATAGCCAAGAATAAAGAACACTGAATTGGAAATCAGTAGTGTTCTTTAGAAGTCAACATTCTTAGACTTTGGTTCATTCTCAACCCTTCACAACTAAGGTTTTAAGAAAGCTTTAAACAAGATCCCCTTCATGAGGTCTCTGTAAAAAAAAAAACAGAACAAGGGTTGAGAAAAGAGAGTTATGCATCCCTTTGGAGAGATCTTTGTACCTAAAGCCAAAATATTTGAAAATACCATGATAAAATGCAAACTTGAATAATATTATTGCATAGCGAGGTCCTTCGGACATCTATGTAAGAGAAAATCAGTATGACCTGGCCTGACTGAAATAAGTTATCATTGAATAAGGAGACTAAAGCAGGCTTTGAAGGATAAACCTCCAGACTTCCACTGAAAAATCTAAAAAACTGATTTAATATTGTCAAATTCAATAGATATCTTCCTGGACTTTGATGCTTTATTTGGCACCAATCATCACATTTCTTTGGTTAAACTATCAATTACCTTCAGTGTCATGTTATTATCCTCTTTTCCCCTGTTTCTAATCCTAACTCTGTCTGTTCCTTTTTGAAGTTTATAATTAACTTGTTTTTCTATCTCTATCTTTCATATTCCAAGGCCTCTACCCAAATCATTGCTCTGTTTTATCTACGTGCTGTGCCTCAGTAATTTTATTCATCTCTTTCTTCCTTGTAACTACCATCTACTTGCCAATCGCCCTTGGTTCTAATATCACCCCAGAGTTTTAGATTTATATATTCGATTATTTGTTTCATACATCCACTTGGATATTCCATTAAAAAACTCACAGTCAGCATGTTGTTTTTCTTCTTCACTATACACCCCTAACACCTGCACCTCTTCCTGTATTCTATTTTTCTATTCATGGTTGATATGGTTTGGCTTCGTGTCCTCACCCAAATCTCATGTTGAATTGTAATCACCAGTGTTGGGGGAGTGAACTGACAGGAGGTGATTGGATCATGGGGGTGGTTTCTAATGGTTTAGCAACATCCCCCTAGTGTTGTCTTGTGATACAGTTCTCAGGAGATCTGGTTGTTTTAAAGCATGTAGCACTTCCTCCATCACTCTCTTTCTCCTTCTCCTGCCATGGGAAGAAATGCCTTGCTTCTCCCTTGCCTTCTGCCATGATTGTAAGTTTCCTGAGGCCTCCCCAACCATGGTTCCTGTACCTCCTGCATAACTGCGAGTCAATTAAACTTCTCTTCTTCATAACTTATCCATTCTCAGGTAGATCTTTATGGCAGTGTGAGAATGGACTAATACAATGGTTCCACCTTTTATAAAGTTATCCAGGCCAGAAATAGGTCCTTCCTAGATTCCACCTTCCTCCACACTTTCATAAATCTTCAAAATATATTCCCAAATCATTTATTTCTCTCTTGTTCCATGAAAACACTCTAAGGACCACTGTAAGGTGAACATGTTAAGGTTTAATAATGGTAAGACTGCCTCAGGTTAGTATTAAAATTTAAAGACTGAAATTATCTGTGGTGGTGGTTCTTAACTGATGGTGATTTAATCTCCACCCCAGGGAAGATGTATGACAATGTCTGCAGACATTTTTTTATCGTCACAACTTGAGGAGGGGGTGCTACTAGCATCCAGTGGCTATATCAGTGCCACTACAAAACACCCTACAATTCATAGGCCAACTCCCACAACAAAGAATATTCAGCCAAAATATCAACAGTTTCCAGCCTGAGAAACCCTGATCGATGATTTTGCATTCTAATTGGATGTCTCTTGAGAAATATTTACAGATTGAATTTTAGAACAGTATGATAAATACTCTCCAAGAACATATCCCAATATTATTCTTACATGGCTAATATTTGAGTCAATTCATTCTGGATCCATATTAGTAGTATTGTAGTGGACATATCTTAAGGCGACCCCCAATGAGTCATGCCTTTGTATAATCCCCTCCTCTTGAGGTCAGCTGGAACCTGTGACTTGCTTCTAGCCAATAAATTATGGCAAAGGTAATGGAGTACTCACTCCCCTGATTATGTCACAATTTATAAAACTTTCTCTTAACAGATCCAAGCAAGAGAGAGCCTCCTGCTGGCCTTGAAGAAGTAAGTTGCTATGCCATGATAGGACCATTTAGCAAGAACTGTGGGGATTTCTAAGAGCTGAGAGTGACCACCTACTCCCAGGCCAACAGCCTGCAGGAAAGCAAGAACCTCAGTCCTGCAATCACAAGGAACCACAAAGAAAGAAACCAACAACCACATGAGTTTGGAAGATTACACCTAGCTCTAGATGAGACTATAGGCAGCTAATGCCTTGATTACAGCTTTGTAAGACTCTGAGCAGAAAACCCAGTTCAGCTGGACCTGAACTCTTGACCCACAAAAACTGTGAGGTAATAAATGTAGATTGTTTTAAGCCATTAAGTTTGCGGTAATTTATTATGAAGCAGTGGATAACTAATACAAATACGATGGTGGAAAATGAAAGAAAGAAACATGGAAAAAGTAAGAAAGAAACATAGGAATAATGAATATAAACACTTTATATAAATATGGCATGACAACTTATATGTTTATTTTACATTTTCTTGTTTTCTCTTTCAGCCATTGATTTATTTCAAGCCCTTATCTTTCTTGTATTTAGGGGGCTAGATTAACATAATATATTAATTGTATGTGATATATATATATATACCTTAAGATTCTACCAATGTTTGTTTGGACGTTAAAACAATGAAATCAGACTTCATCAGCAACGAAATAATTGTGGTGAAGAAAACTTTGGCTGAAGCTCTATAATTAAATGGAATGTCATGTACAAAAACCAACTCAAGATACATTAAAGACTTAAATATAAAACCAAAAACTATAAAAACCCTGGAAGACAACCTAGGCAATACCATTCTGGACACAGGAACAGCAAAGATTTCATGACAAACATGCAATTGCAGCAAAAGCAAAAATTGACAAATATGATATATTTAAACTTAAGAGCTTCTGCACAGCAAAAGAAATTATCAGCAGAGTGAGCAGACAACCTACAGAATGGGAGAAAATACTTGCAAACTATGCATCTGACAAAGGTCTAATATCCAGCATCTATAAGGAACAAACAAATTTACAAGAAAAAGACAAATAACCCCATTAAAAAGTGGGCAGAGGACATAAACAGACATTTTCCAAAAGAAGGCATACATGTGGCCAACAAGCATATAAAAAATATTCAACATCACTAATCATTAGAGAAATGCAAATGAAAAACACAATGAGATATCATCTCATACCAGTTATAATGGCTATTATTAAAAAGTCAAAAAATAATAGATGCTTGTGAGGTTGCAGAGAAAAGGGAAGGCTTTTACACTGTTGGTGGGAGTGTAGATTAGTTCAATCATTATAGAAAGCAGTGTGGTGATTCCTCAAAGAGTTAAAAACAGAACTAACATTTGACCTAGCAATCCCATTACTGGGATTTATATACCTTTCGGTACATAAATCGTTCTACCATAAAGACACATACACAGATATGTTCATTGCTGCACTATTCACAACAGCAAACACATGGAATTAACCTCGATGCCCATTAATGGCAGATTATATAAAGAAAATGTGGTACATATACACCGTGGAATACTATGCAACCATAAAAAGCAATGAGATGCTGTTCTTTGCAGGAACACAGATGGATGGAGCTCGAGGCCATTATCCTTAGCAAACTAATGCAGGAACAGATAAACAAATCCACATGTTCTCACTTATAAGTAGGAGCTAAATGATGACAACACATGGACACCAAGAGGGGAACAAAAAACACTGGGGCCTATTTGAAGATGGAGGGTGGGAGGAGGGAGAGGAGCAGAAAAAAATCACTATTGGATACTAGGTTTAGTACCTGGGTCATGAAATAATCTGTACAAGTCCCTGTGACACAGGTTTACCTGTATAAAAAACCTGCACATGTACTCCTGAACCTAAAATAAAATTTTAAATGAAAAAAATGAAAGATTGAGTGTGATGACACGTATACAGTAAGAACAGTATATCAGTTTCTTTGTTATTAGCTTCATTTGGTAATTTAGATTTGATAGCCATTTTTAGTAATTACTTTCATTACACATTATTAAATTTCAAATGGAGATGGTGGCTGTCCAGTACAAGATAATTTACAAAAAAAAACACAGTCAAATTTGCTGATAACTTTTCAGAGGACAGGAAATTTCCTATATAACAACTGCAGAGGAAACACAGAGAGGACAGAACTAATTTGTGATTATCTTAGCACTTTCAAATAGTCATGTCCATGAAAGTTACTCAATTATGTTAAGTATTAAGAGATATTCTCAAATCTAACATACTTTCAAATTTTAGACATCATAACCTTTTATTTTATCCCACAGATATTGATCCTTTGAAGCAGATGTCACCCATGAGCCAAATACAGTTCACCACTTGTTTTTGTATAGTTTGCAAGCAAATAAAAGCTTTTACATTTTTAAATGATTGAACAAAATAAAAGGAATAATATGACATTAAAATTATGTGACATTCAAATGTCAGCGCTGATAAATGCAGTGCTATTGTAACACAGCTACACACATTCATTTACATATTGTTTAGGGCTGTTTTTGTACTACAACAATAGAAATGAGTAGTCATTGACACCGAGATTGGATGTGGCCTAGAAAACCGAAAACACATACTATCTGTTCCTTTTTAGAAAAAATTTGCTGACCCTTTCCCTAGAATATGTTGTGTTTTGAAAACCATCTCTAAAAATAAACAATGCATGCATGTATTAAATTAAATTATTTGTAATGTATGTGGTGTGTATGTATGTGTGCATGTGTATCTATGGTCCTATTTTTTCTTCAATATATCTATTTAATATATGATTTATTCAGTTCCAATTAAACATCACACTCCATAAATACAGGGTACGGTTCTTTGACAGCTTCGTTCATAAGCATTCTAGGGTACAGGCTACAAGTTTGGGTTCTATTATTGTTTTCTTTTTTCCCTTTCTTCATTGATGGTTCATGCCTCGTCCTGAGTGCACAAAGGCTCCAAGACATTCCTGCAATCCGTAGCCCTGCATGCACTGTCTAAGAGTTCTTCATACCATCTGTGAGATTTCTTTACAAAGGCCCTGCAGGAGTGAGGAGCTGTAAATTATTGTTTGGCATTTTCAAAGTGTTAACAAAAGGGATGGAAGTTCTATTAACAATGCATGAGGATGAGAGGTCAAACCCCACAGTCCCTGTCTGGAGATTTCAATAGCATGGTGTTTCTATAAAGTAGAACCAGGCCCGAAAGGAAGATAAATATGCCAATGGTAAAGGTTAGAAAACTCCAATAAAATTACTGTAAGAAACATGCAAAAATTATGGCTGCCTTTTACATGTGAAAAGGGAAGGATGGAAAATCATAGAAGGGAGATGAATTAAGGTATTTTTAATACAATGGACATTAGGCTGCTATGATTGTGGCAAAACTGTTTTGAAACATGTTTGAGATTTGCTTGATATTTGTCTTTTCAGGCTCCTCTGACACTTATATTTAGTTGTAATTTTGTTTGTAAAGCACTGACACCTAACAAACTACATTTTAAGATGTGCTGTTTTCGCAGATAATCATTTACATTTTTATTCCTTCCTCCATTTTACAATCTGAATTATACTAATATCTATGCTATATGGAGAGAATACAATAAGTAATTTTTCAAATAATTTTATTGAGTTTATTTAAGGTACAAATACGATGTTACAAGATACATATAGATAGAAGCAATTCTTATACAAAAGGAATGCATTATGGAAACTTCATACAAGTCATCTATTGTAACCACTCTGGTCCAAAAGATCAAGGGTCCCCAACTCTCAGGCCACGGACTGGTACCAGTCCATGGCCTGTTAGAAACCGAGATGCACAGCAGGAAGTGAGCAGCGGGCGAGTGAGCATTACAGCCTGAGCTTCACTTCCTGCCAGATGAGTGGCAGCATTAGCTTGTCATAGGCGCGGGAACCCTATTGTGAATTGTGCATGTAAGGAATCTAGGTTGCACACTCCTTATAAGAATCTAATGCCTGATGATCTGAGGTGGAACAGTTTCTTCCCTCCCACCCCCACTATCTGTGGAAAAATTGTCTTCCATGAAACCAGTCCCTCGTGCCAAAAAGGTTGGGGACTGCTGCAATTGATAGTCCTGCCAATATCTGTTGGGGAACAGAAATCACTGCAGTTCTGTTAGAGAACGATGTTACAGTGGTGCTGGACCAGGAATCCAGAATTACTTCAATCTTTCCTGGCCCAGCAAGATCTTCCCTGTTGCCTCCCTAAGGGGGCAGGGGTGGTGTATATTAAGAGGTACAGAAGAGAAAGACATCCTTTTCTTTTTTTCAATGGGGGCTTTAGCCCTAAACCTCAAAATAGAGGTGAGCAGGACCATTTGGTAGATTCCATAATCCCTTGGTCTAGAGGACCAAATACTTACAGCCCAAAATCAAAGCAGACCCAGTGCAGCCGTCAGTATTTCAATTAGCAGAAAGATGGCACCCAATTTTTTTTTTCGAGTTCAACTGGATTTATTTGCAGTGTTTATGAGGCACCTTTACATACATTTTTGCTTGCTGGCTTAAATATAGGCTTTTTAGCCTCTCATGTGTCTCCATCTTTTCTAACCTTTTTTGTTTTTTTATACTTTAAGTTCTAGGGTACATATGCACAACGTGCAGGTTTGTTACATATGCATACATGTGCCATGTTGGTGTGCAGCACCCATCGACTGGTCATTTACATCAGGTATATCTCCTAATGCTATCCCTGCCCCCTCCCCCCACCCCACGACAGGCGCCGGTGTGTGATGTTCCCCTTCCTGTGTCCAAGTGTTCTCATTGTTCAATTCCCACCTATGAGTGAGAACATGCGATTGCACCCAATTTTCAAATTAAATTCTGGCCTTTAGATCCTAATTCTATGAATAAGGAAAGATACATGAATGGAGGAAACATAACTGCCCAAATGAAGTCAAGCCATATGGCAGGGATGGGGGAAGAGAGCATAGGGAAAAGAGACAAGGATCAAATTTGTTAAATCAGACTCCTTAAGTACTTAGAATATTAAATCCAATAAGGATTAACCCACTAGATGAGGATCATAACTCTTTAATGATGCAACAATAATGAGGAAAAGGAACCTTAAGGTGAGCAATAATAATTTACTAAAGAGAAATTTACCTATATATTTCTATTTTTATTTTTGTTTATTTTTTATTTGTCAAATAAAAATTATATATATTTATGGTGTACAACATGATGTTTTGAAATATGTATACACTGTGGAATGGCAAAGTCGATCTAATTAATATATATATATATATATTACATCACATATTTATTATTTTCATGGTGAGAATACTATAAAGGGTGAGAAATCTACACTCAGAAATTTCCAAGTATGTAATACATTGTTATTAACTATAGTTACTATGTTGTACAATACATCCCTTGAACTTACTCCTGCTGTCTAACTAAAATTGTGTATCTTTCGACCAACATCTACCCAATTCCCCTCACTCCCAACCCCCAGCTCCTCGTAACCAGTCTGCTTTCTGCTTCTATGAGTTCAACTTTTTTAGATTCCACATACAAGTAAGACATGCAATATTTGTCTTTCTGTGTCTGGCTTTTTTTTACTTAATATACATGTCTTTGAGGTTCATCCAGGTTGTCTCAAATGACAAGATTTCCTTCTTTTATAAGGCTAAATACTATTCCACTGTGTATATATATCATATTTTCTATATCCATTTATCCCTTCATGGGCACTTCAATTGATCCCATATCCTGTCTATTCTGAATATTGCTGCAGTGAACATGGGAGTGCAGATATCTCTTCCACATACTCATTTCATTTCCTTGAGATATACAACCAGAAGTGGAATTGCACAACATATGGTAGTTCTAGTTTTAACTTTCTGGGGATCCACCATAGTGTTTTCCATAGTGAATGTATCAGTTTGCATTCCCAGCAAGAGTGCATAAGGATTCACTTTTCTGCACATCCTCATCAACACTTGTTATCTTTCTTCTTTTTTATAACGGCCATTTTACCACGTGTGAGGTTGTTTCTTTAAGTATTTGGAAATTTCTCCTTTTATTGATGCAAATTCTGCCTCCTTTTCCTTTGTAACTTCTCCTCAATGATTGCCTCTAGCTCTGCCCTCTGGATGCACACAGGTAAATTCACAGTAGTTGTTCATGTACTGCTAGTATTTCAGGATTTACCCTTTATCACCTCAGATGGAACAATTAATTGCTACACCCACCCCACACACATATTCACAGAGGCAGCAAAAAGTAACACCTGTGTCCATGAGCAACCCTGGCTTAAGGAAACTGCAATCTTTTGAAGGGGACTTCTGGAGAACCTGACCCACATTTGCCCTTGGGATAAAAAATTGTTATCCTGGGCAGCAAACAAATCTGCCCTCTGCCTCCTATCCCATAGAGAGATACTATTTCTGTCTTCCGAGGCTGTTTGCCATACACACATCCTTGAAAAGACAGTCCAGAACAAATGTGAGAGATCTGTAGATACGGATCTTACATATGTAAGTGTGTGTCTATACACATACGCAAATATATTTGTGCACTCTTCACATTCACGAAGGTTAATTTTTACATACATTTGATCCATTTTTTATATATTTTTTGACATGCTTTTTTGATGGATATCTTTCCTTATCAGTATACCTCATTCCTTTTTTGCCACTACATAGTATCTCATAGTATTTATATTCTATAATTTACTACAAATTCTGAGCCATTTCCCTATTAATATACTTTAAAATTTTTTCCAACGTCTTACTATTACAAAACTGCTGAAAAAGAGTTTTTATACATATATCTGTGCATATATGAGTATTTCTATAGGAGAGACAAAGAGAAATGGAACTACTTGATTAAAACATTTGTACTTAAAAATTTGAAAGCTATGTACAAGTCCCCTGTGTCAACTTATATTCCCTCCAACAGTACATGAGTGTCCAAATCCTATTTTTCTATGTGTGCTAACATACTTACATGCCTCCAAATAAGATATACCTGTGGAAAGACATTACTTAAAATTAACATGGAATAGTACTTTAGGTTTTAATGCAATTTTGTCCTCACTATCAAATTTATGCCTACACAAGCCCAGGAAGATATCTGTTATTAGTTTCAATTTCAGATGAGTAAAGTCAGACATTTCAATAAATGAGCTATGGAAAAGAAAAATGTAATCACAACTTCCAGTGCTAATTTCTTATATTTTTGTATTCAATACTGGGTTTTCCTGACACAAAATAAAAGGTACGTGCAATCCATGAGCCCATACATCAAAAGGAATGCAAGAACGTCCTACTGGAGCATTTTCAGAATGTATTTTATCCCCCAAAGGCAACTTTGCTATATAGCTTCATCACATTTTCCAAAATTAAGTTTTATGGCAGTGGACTTGAAACTAGAGATTCATATTGAGCTTGAAGTCAACTAAAACTTCTGGTTAATTTTGTGCTGCTGTTGTTACTGTTGTTGTTATTGTTTTAACATAAACTACCACTTATCTAGGTTTCCCCAATCTGTTTATAGATATAACTGATTTTTTATCCTAAATTAATGTCTCAGTCAGTTTGAGCTGCTATAACAAATTACCTTAAACTGGAGGGCTTAAGCAACAGAAATTTATTTCTCACAGTTTTGGAGTCTGGAAGTTCACGATCAGGGTGACAGCATGGTCAGGTTCTGGTGAAGGCCTTCTTCTGAGTTGCAGACTGTCATCTTCTCTTTATAAGATCACATTGGGAAAATAGGGAGAGAGAGTTTTCTGTGGTCCCTTTTATAAGGCATTAATACATTTATGAGGGCTGTACTCTCATGAACTAATTACTTCCCAAAGGTCTCACCTCCTAATAACATTTTAATGGGTGTTAAAATTTCAACATATACATTCTTGGGGTATACAAACATTCAGACCATTGCATTCCCCACCCCAGCCCCCTGAAATGGATGTCCTTCTCACAAGTAAAATATATTTATTCCATCCCAAAAGACTCAAAAGTCTTAACTTATTCTAGTATCAACTCTAAAGTCCAAAGTTGTATCTAAGTATCATCTGAGTCAGATAAGGGTGAGACTCAAGGTACATATAAATGTGTTACTTTCCTAATTTGCAGTTTTTCAGTATCTTTTTGACACTTGATTCTATCATTTATCATATTAACTGACTTTTCCATTTCTGTAACATCCACACATTTAATAAATATATATCATTTTCATGAATTAACTCAACTCACTTATTAAAATGTTGAACGGGACATATCCAAACCCAAGCATATATGTCTGTGCCACTAGCATCTTATCTGAAGGTGGACGTCATTGTTTTTAAGCCTATCTTGCTTTTCATTAGTAGAAACATGGCTGTGAATTAAAATAAGTCTGATGTCACTACCGCAGTCATGGGGTACATGAGATGATTGTGGCAGGAAGAAACACTAATGGAAGGGAGAAAGCTATTTTTCACAAAGATCTATAGTTCAACAAGCCTCATGGGAAAGGTAGTAGAGAAGGACAGCATATAAATTGAATTAAATTCTCATAAAATAAGAGGCTTTTAATTTATTTTTCCCTGAGCATCAGCGTAATGAATAATTAAAACTACCCATTCTCTTCTTAGATTTGCAGAAAGCAGTGAATTTCTCATATCTACTTGGCAGCTTTATTAGCTATGATTGTTTCTCTTCTTCAAAGAGGTTATCCACCTGCTGAATTTTTTTTATCATTTTGGTAATTATATTTTGATGTTTACATTTGCATGATTTTGTTCAAAGATCTCATGTCAAATGAATGCATTGAATGAAGAATAAAGGCAAAATTATAATATTGGAGATGAAGAAAATGAGTACTTAAAATGCCCATATGTAACTGTGGCTTTAATTAAAGGCTGGTCCAGAAAGAAAACATTAGGTATAAATCCATTTTCTTTCATTTTTACTTAGAAGTTTCCTATTTTCAAGGTGAAAAAAACTTGTTTTTTTTACCTCAGTTAAGCTGTCATTGGGAAAAACATTTGGTTCCTAAATTTGCTCTCGTGGAAGGAAGAGGACCTGAGTTATGTTCTTAAATGTTATAATTAGTTTAAGCCTGTGGTGGTCATAGCAAAGCCGTGGGCAAATTTGGAACATACCCAAGCTTAAAGGAATCAATCCAATTCAACTACAACCCCAAGGCACTGAGGAATATTGTGTCAGGCAATATCAGAAAGGCAAGGCAATCCCAAACCTTTCCATGAAGAAGGAGGGAACACAGCTACAAGAGAGGCCTGTGAAGCCCACAAATGTCACTCTACATGCCCAATCTTCAATGACGAGACCTCCTCAATAGGGAAACCCATTTTAGTCAGTTAATGCTCTTTAGAGACCTCACTGTATGGTCCTATTATCCACCTAAAATCCTATTAAAAAAAAAAAAAGAAAAGAAAAACAGCTGGGCACAGTGGCTCACACCTGTAATCCCAGCACTCTGGGAGGCTGAGGTGGGCGGATCACAAGGTCAAGAGATAGAGACCATCTTGGCCAACATGCTGAAACCCCATCTCTACTAAAATACAAAAATTAGCTGGGAGGGGTGGTGCTTGCCTCTAGTCCCAGCTACTTGGGAGGCTGAGGCAGGAGAATCGCTTGAAGCCGCTAGGCGGAGGTTGCAGTGAGCAGAGATCATGCCACTGCACTCCAGCCTGGCCACAGAGTGAGACTCCATCTCAAAAAAAAAAGGGAGGGGGCATGGTTACTGCTCCAAATTCATTTATATTTCAAAATGTAACATCCATGCCAGCAGTGTTCTTGTCCATCATGATAAAATCCAATTTATATAGTAGTGATGCATACCATCGCCATTTGTTTTACATGCAAAAATATACATATAACAAATATAATCCCTCCTATATAATTGTTTTCTTTTCATTTCAATTTTTATTCAATTTTATTTTTCACTCTCTTGTTTGAAACCACTAATTCTATGTAGCAACTACATAGTTCAATAATATGTCTCTGCAAAAGTATTGTCTCAATGGGAAGGAGATTACTATGCACTAAAGGTCATTTTTGTGTGTGTGGAATAAATAAAATAAGCAATATTATGTGTATAATGTTTTTCACTTATGGATTTATAAACAGCTATCATAAAATCACTAGTAGCAAAGGGTTAAAAGGAACCTTAGGTGTTTTTCTCCTCTTCTGCAGTATTTGTTCAGGCTTTTGTAACATATATGTAACTTTATTAGTTATAGAAATTTCTGCCTTCTCTTCTGGACTTTAATTCTGTGAAGTTGGACTATGGATGATTGATCACTCAATCCCTAGTAGTTTCTACAGTGCCTGGAAAATAAAAGATACTCAATGAATGTTAATCAAATCCTCTCTACTTAAAGTGGATTAACTAAGGCTCTAAAAATTTGATATGACTTGCAGTGGCTCATAAACCTACTCAGCAAGGAAACCTAGCTGAAGCCCTGGAGAATCTGGTGAAAAATCTTATGTTGTTTATTTACTACTTTGAGTTTGAATCTCACTGTATTAGTCTGCTTTCATGCTGCTGATAAAGACATATCCGAGACTGGGAAGAAAAAGAGGTTTAACAAACCTGCACATTCTGCACATGTACCCCAGAACTTAAAATATAATAAAAAAAAGATTGGAATGTTTCTAACACAAAGAAATTATAAATAGTTGAGGCAATGAATACCCCAGTTACCCTGACTTAATAATGAAACATTGTATGCTTGTATCAAAATTTCACATGTACCCCATAAATATACACAACTGTTATGTATCCATAATAATTAAAAAAAAGAAAAAGAGGTTTAATGGACTTACAGCTCCACATGGATGGGGAGGCCTCACAGTCATGGCAGAGGGCAAGGAGGAGCAAGTGATGTCTTACATGGATGGGAGCAGGCAAAAAGAGAGCTTGTGCAGGGAAACTCCCGTTTTTAAAACCATCAGACCTCGTGAGACTCACTCACCATTACAAGAACAGCAGGGGAAAGGCCCGCCCCCATGATTCAACCATCTCCCACTGGGTCCTTCCCACCACACGTGGGAATTATGGGAGCTACAAGATAAGATTTCGGTGGGGACACAGAGCCAAACCATATCACTGGCCTTACTACCTTGACTTGTTCTTGAGGACACAGACCATGTTTTGATATTCTAGAACATTGTCTTAGTTCCTCCGTGTACCCAACTCCAATCCCAATGCCTGGTTCAGGGATAGCTCCAAAGCAGATCTGTTCTAAAACAAAATAACAAAACAACAAAAAAAAACAAAACAGAATTACTTTGTTCTAAAATTTGTGTTGTTAAATAATGTTTTATTAAAAAATGCTTTATGATCAATCTCAACTATCAAATGGTAAATTTTCCATCCGCCATTTTTCCCTGCCCCAAATCTCTTAGATTTCTATAAATTTCAGGGCTGTGTGGAGACTACAGGATAATAACTTCTGTGTACTATTTGGTCGTTCATCCAAAAAAATATATGCTTGTAATTGCCTGCTTTAGGCAGCTGTCAGCAATTTGGTAAGATAAAACCTTTGCAGTAAATGTCACCATGCAACAATACATCCCACCCTGAGAGGGAGAAGAATACAAACATGAACTACATGAATCTAAGGAACAAAGTGAGCCACACAGATCTGCTAAATTTGATATAATAATGAGAAGAAAATTATCCATTTCCCCTTACTGTATATAGCACCTTCAAGGATATTATTCTAAAATGGTAATTTTACTCAATGCCCTAAGTCCTTGCCCTAATCCTCTATAGAGTGAATCTCCCTGACTGGCCAGTAGTCCAGTCATCGGTACGCAAGAGCATAAAGCTGATAAACATAAATCCCTCAGCCCTCAGACAGGGAAACAATAAATTACTTTACAGATATGTAATTAAAAGGCTGCTCAACAAGTGCTCTGAGCTCCCCAAGCAGGGATTTAAATCCAAATATGTGTCAATGTGTCCCCAGCAGAAGAAAAGGACAGATGGAAGGGAGAACCAAGATAAAACCATTCAGGCTCCCCAAAACTCAGCAAGGGGCTTAGTACACAGTAATTATATCAATCTGTCCAGGTTAAACACTAATACTTGTTTGCCTTTGCATGTCTGCTTAGGTCCAGCCAACAATGGTACAGACTTTTATGAAAAGGAAAGTCTTAATGCAGGGAATGGGAAGACGATATAGGAAGAAAATACAAATATTCTTAAGTCGAGTATGCCATGCTTGTTTTGTAGGATATTGACATAAAATTTACTTCTGGCTTCTAAGAATTGTTTTTCAGCCATAAAGCTTTCAAAAATCTTGTGTACCTAATCCAAAGCCTTTAAAATTTACGTTATAAAATTTATTACAACATCCTTATAAATCAGTACTTGGTAGTAACAAATTATAAGAATGTGCTGTATATTAAAAAGATATATCAGAATTGGACAGTAAAGAGAGCAGGTGTTTTCAAATCAGACAGCTAAAGCACTAACTAATAGGAACATTTGTAAACTTGACAATGATTTACACTAAGGCTCTTGGTTAGAGTACATAAATCCAGCAGAAGAGTTTGCATCTATCAACTGGGACTTTTGGTCCATTGTTTATGAATCAAGAAGTTAATGAAGTGTCAGGGGTCTGAAAATACAGATAGTAAATTATAAATTTTAGCTTTCGATTTATAAATAAGTAACTTTAAGAATTACATATATAACAAAACAGAAAAATAAATTGCATTTAAAATCAGGCGAAGGTTAGTATTTTTAAATCACAGTTGTAAATAAAATGATTATATGTTTATATCTCCAACCAATACCAACTTAGATACTTCTAAAATTCTGCATTTCCTAAGATCATAGCAGGAATGTGCCAAGCACAATGCCAACACTTAGCAACTTCAGTGAAATAATTAGTTCGTTCTTATTCTGTTAACTTTAATAGGGAACTTTTAATAAAATACAATATTTACATTACAATTTTTTGTTTTACCATAAAAGGACCAAATAATATATGGCAAATCATAACTTGAAAGTCTAGTTATAGACATGAAGCTCAAATGTGTTCCTTTTCCCTTAGGATACACCAAATGTATTTCTTAAAAAGACCCCAATGTAAGGACAATTCTCTCACGTTTTGCTTTGCCTCATAACTTCTCCTCACAGTGGAATCCAAGATGAGCAGGTGCCACTTCAGGGCCAAGTTGCTCAGGTCCCACGTGGCTATTTCATCACAAAAGAACACGAGAGAAACAGAATCAAAAGAAATTTAAAAGCAAAGAGGTAAGAAATCCCTACAGGTGACTGGCTAAGAGACAAGGTTAAATATGGCTTGTTTGCCTTGCCCTGGCTCTGCTTCAGAAAGATACCCCTGCTGGACTGTTTCCCTATGAGCTACATCACCATGGAAGAGCCAGGCCTAAGTGAGGTTCTGGGGAGACACATCCAGTTAAGGATCCCCTCTGTCCCTTCTCCTAACATGCCACCCATCCCTTGAGGGTTAGGCCCTTTATTCTCCTGGCAACTCTGAACCTGAGTGAAATATCCTTCTTCCCATTCTAAAGGTAGCGACCCTGCCTTGTGTCCTCTTCTGTCTAGATGGTATGAGGACCTCACTAATCAATAAACCACCTATGTACCAGATCTGAACGGATGCTAATCTGTGAGCCCACGTGGGTTGACTTCTTTACATGTTAGTAGAAACATTCAAGTACTCTTCCTTACTGGAGAATAATGCAGGACTTTATACAGACAGCAAGGGAGGGGTAAGAAGCCGTAAGGGAAGGCTGGAGATATTTTACATGAAAGGTACTTGGGAATGGGGACATCTGCCCTGGAATCACCTGTGCTTACTGCCCTGACTAGAGTGGGGTTAAATGACATCTCAGCAGCCCACTGGATCATAATTGTTAAGGACCTAAGTAGAAAGTACTCGCCTCCTTTTTCCTCCTCTGTTTTCACTCACTAGTTATTCACGAATGCGGCCACCCTGGACTCCTCTGTATTCCCTTGTACAAGGTCCAAGACCACAGCATCTTGAGGTTGACACAATCTCCTGGGGGGAGTGAGGAATAGGAGACCCGAGGTTTATCCTTTGAACCCCTTCTCCACCATGACCTCATGACATGCCCTTTGTTTTCTGTCCTTTCACAGGGATCTTGCTGTATAGCTTGCTCAAATTCATGTTCATGGACTGTGCACTTGTACTGATTCCCTGCCTTTCAATTTGGCAGCTGTGCAGCACCTTACAGCATGACCCACCCGGGGAACCCTCATGAGAATCTAAATGTCAACTGTGTCCTCATCTCTGACTACAGATAGAACCACTTATCCTGTGATACCATGCAGGTCCTTTGGGAGAGCTTGCATCTAGAAGCCACCTAATATTATTTGTTAAATTTTTAAAATACAGACTTAAAGACACAGTGCATTTCAAAGCTTGAGGAAATATATTGTGTAATAGTGTTACAAAACAAATTCACATCAGAAATTAATTGAATGAAATAAAGAGCGCAGATCCTAAAACATGGAGTTTATAGGTAATATTCTTTCTTCATTTGATATTTACTCTCGGGTTTATTTAACATCAGACCTAAAGATACATGTGATGTGGCATTGCAGACTCATTGTACCCTTCTGCATTCTGCTTGGATAGCAACAAAATGGAAAATCAGAGCAATGGTCCCACAATTTAGGTACAGAAAATCGTCCATCACATTGCTGAAGCAGCTCCACTAGGTTCGTTATAAGCAAATAAAACCTATGAAATTTTATAGCATGGCATTTGTTTCATAAGCATTTGATTAGGTTTTGTCTATTCTTTGGAGGAAAAAAGCAACCAAATACTAAAATGCTTCCATTATTATAAGTTCACCAACCCTAAACACGTGCTACCCAAGTTAATTTTTCTAATATCATCTATTTCAAAAGGACTTCCAAAGCTATGTTACTGATATAATTTTATTATCTTCAAAAATTATGGGTCTAGTTTCTAAACACAATTTATAAAGTTCAACCAGCTACCACATAAAGAGCAATGTTTGCCAGCTATTGTAGAGAAACTGACTGATAGGTGAAATGAGCTACTCCATTAGTCGATTGCTAGGGAGCATTTGCAAATAGAGGTGGAAATAAAGACTGCTTAAATGAAAAAAAAAAAAAAAGACACTCAAACAAAAAAGCAGCAGCTAAAGCCTGACACTTTGCAAAAAGAATAACCAAATCATGACTTGGGGACTGTTGGGGTTATGTTCCATCTGCCCTAGTTCTACCAACAGCTCTTCTCTGTGCCCTGGGAAGCTGAGGCCTGCAGTGTGCATCAGAGGCTCCTCTGCCTTCCGGCTTCTGTTAGCTTTGGCCAAAAATTGCCACAAAAAGAATAAACTACCTAGGAATACAGCTAACTAAGGAAGTGAAATATCTCTGCAAGGAGAATACAAATCAAATCAGAGATGACACAAATAAATGGAAAAACATTCCGTGCTCATGGATAGGAAGAACCAATATCATTAAAATGGCCACACTGCCCAAAGCAATTTATAGATTCCATGCTATTCCTATTAAAGTACCACTGAAATTCTTCACAGAATTAGAAAAAAAAAACTATTTTAAAATTCATATGGAACCATCAAAGGGCCCAAATAACCAAGAAAATCCTAAGCAAAAGGAACAAAGCTGAAGGCATCATGCTACCTGACTTCAAACTTTACTACAAGGCTACAGTACCCAAAAAACAGCATAGTACTGGTACAAGAACAGACACATAGACCAATGGAACAGAATAGAGAACTCAGAAATAAGACCACACACCTACAACCATCTGATCTTCTATAAATCTGACAAAAACAAGCAATGTGGAGAGGATTCCCTATTTAATAAATGGTGTTGGGAGAACTGGCTAGCCATATGCAGAAAATTGAAACTGGACCTCTTCCTTACACCATATACAAAAATCAACTCAAGATGGATTAAAGACTTAAATGTAAAACCCAAAACTATAAAAACCCTAGAAGAAAACCTAGGCAATATCATCAGGACAGAGGCAAGGGCAAAGATTTCATGACAAAGATGCCAACAGCATTTGCAACAAAAGCAAAAACAGACAAATACGATTTAATTAAACTAAAGAGCTTCTACACAGCAAAAGAAACTATCATCAGAGTAAACAGACAACCTACAGAATGGGAGAAATATTTGCAATCTACCCATCTGACAAAAGTCTAATATCTGGCATCTACAAGGAACTTAAGTTTATAAGAAAAAAACAATCCCATTAAAAAGGGGGCAGAGGACATGAACAGACACTTCTCAAAAGAAGACATACATGCAGCCAAAAAGCATACAAAAAAAAACCTCAACATCACTGATCATTAGAGAAATGCAAATCAAAACCACAGTGAGATACCATCTCACACCAGTCAGAATGGCTATTATTAAAAAGTCAAAAAATAACAGATGCTGGTGAGGTTGCAGAGAAAACAAATGCTTATACACTGTTGGTAGGAGTGTAACCATTAGTTACACTACACAATGGTAGTTCAACCATTGTGAGAGAGGGTGTGGCAATTCCTCAAAGACCTAAAAACAGAATTACTGTCCAACCCAGCAATGCCATTATTAGGCATATACCCAAAGGAATACAAATCTTTCTTTTATAAAGACACATGTATGCATGTGTCCACTGCAGCACTATTCACAATAACAAAGACGTGGAATCAACCTACATGCTCCTCAATGGTAGACTGGATAACAGAAATGTGGTACATATACACCATGAAATATTATGCAGCCAGAAAAAAGAACAAGATCATGTCCTTTGCAGGAACATGGATGGAACTGGAGGCCATTATCCTTAGCAAATTAACACAGGAAAAGAAAACCAAATACCACATGTTCTCACTTGTAAGTGGGAGCTAAATGATGAGAACACATGGATACACAGAAGGGAACAACACACACTGGGGCCTATCAGAGGATGGAGGGTAGGAGGTGGTAGAGGATCAGGAAAAGTAACTAATGGATACTAGACTTAATACCTGGGTGAAGAAATAATCTGTACAACAAACACCTATGACACAGGTTTATCTATATAACAAACCTGCACATGTACCCCAAACTTAAAAGTTAAATTTAAATCATAATAAAATAAAGTAAAATAAAATCCAACAAAATGCACCACTGTTTCTAACTTGAATAAGGAAATGGAACAGTTTAGTTCAAGATGGACTTTTAGAGGAATATGTTTTTATTTAACCTGTGGTGCTGTTATTTTTGAATGTTGCATTAGAGCTCTCTGATATTGGGTAATAGGCATCAGTCATTGGAATACAGGCCTTTAGAGCAGCAAACATTAAGTGAGTTTTACAGGTTATTAGAGGAAGCCTATCAAGACCATTTGTCCATTGACCATATGGTAATTTTGTCATTTTTTGAAAGACTAGGTCAGTGACTTCAGTAGCCCACCACTCTATTTCTTCTTTACAGGAGCTTGACACCATCATAGTGTGTCTGGCCTCAGAGGCCCAAGTAGAAATCACCAAATCTCAAGAAGCCTTTCATAAAGATCTTACTCTGCACGTAGGCTTTCAAGTCAGGAAATGCCATTGCCTGTAGGCCCTTGTATGCCACATCTACTTTCTTCATTGGCAATGAAATTGTGAAAGGGCTATGTGAACCTTGGCTGCCTCTCTTCTTAGCCTGACTTGTGGGTGAATGCCCCTGTACACATGTCTGTTACTGTACTTGGAAAGTGACACCTTGGCTATACTTATGAATCTCCTTTCCCAGTGAGAATTCCAGTTCTTTGGGGGAATGTGTCTTTTACCTTTAACAACATGAAATATCCTTAACATAAGTTTTAGCACATAGAACAATAAAATATTTATGGAAAGAAAGAAGAAAAAGGGGAAGGGAAGGAAGAAACAATTACAGAATTATAAGTAATAACAAGGATCACCATTTATTGAACCCTTACAACACAATAGGAATTATCCTAATTATTTTACAAGTATTTCCTCATTAAAATCTCACAGAAATTCAAGGTACTATTATCTCTCTTTTATAGTGGAGAAAAGAGTGCTCAATTGAGTTAAACAACATTTCCCAACTCACAGAAAAGAGAAGTGGTAGAATCCATATCTGAAGTCAGTTTTGACTAACTCCAAATCCTGTGTTCTTATCCACCAATCCCAGAAAACACCAAAACTCAGAGAATTTGAGCATCTTATCTAATCCCACAATTATTTAGGGGGAGAGTAGTGAAAAACTTCTGGTTATAGCAGTTAGAAACTCTTTGATGGTAAGTGATAGAAATCATATCAAGCCCTGTTAAACTAAAATTTCCCTCTTTAAGTGCTTCACAGATCACAAGAAGACTGTGTCCTGGGCCTCAGGAACCATCAGAAACTCTAGAGTGGAACCAGTGCTAAGAATGTCATTGGAACATGCATCTCATGTCTCAGTTTCTCTGCACGTCTGCTTCATTCCTCCTTGCAAATGAGCATCCTCTTCTTCTCAGTTAAATGGAGGAAAAACAGCTGTCTCAGCAGCCCCTGAGCATCTATGACTCAGACATACTCA
This sequence comes from Homo sapiens, assembly GCF_000001405.40. Taxonomy (NCBI): domain Eukaryota; kingdom Metazoa; phylum Chordata; class Mammalia; order Primates; family Hominidae; genus Homo; species Homo sapiens. The sequence continues at coordinate 34,734,579 of NC_000023.11, read as the reverse complement.
CACAAAGAGCTTTAGTTCAGTGTCAGTCCAGATTTCTGTGGAAAAGCATTTGATTGGCCTAAAATAGTCTAGAAATTCATCCTGGTTCAAATACTACAGGCAGAGAGGTGAGGTCATGATCTACCAAGAGGGCAGACAGGGACTCACCTTGTCCCATGATCATGTGGATTGAGTGGACCAAACTCAACTAGTGGGTTCCAGATAAGGAAGAAAAACTGTAAGATGTTTTTCTCTAAAGTTATCTACTGTGCTTGCTGTTAAAACTTCTTACCACCCTTTATTGCTTTCCAACTCTGTAGCAAAGGATAATTAAACTAAATTTATAACTTTTACTCTATCAACAAATTTTATCTTAAGGAGTTTTGTGTACAATGAAGAAAAACTGGTTAATTTTTATCATTCTATACAGAAATTTTGAAAATGTATTGTTTTAGAAAGTTTTTCAAAATCATGAAATGCAAAATTCAAAATCAAAACCTTTGAAAGATGAACAGGCTACTGATAGAGTCAACAAGTATTATATCTTGTCTGAAATATAAAAATAAAAACAAAATGCTGAATTTGAAAGGCTTAGCTTCCATTAAAATTTGTGAATTATTTCTCAGGTACTTTTCAGAGAGGACCAAAGTATCAAACCTTAAACACAAAACAGTCTCATTCGAATGAAAGACTTAGTTAATGTAATAACCTGGGGTTTCCAGTTAATACATGAATTTGTCTCATCTGAAAGAATTACTTATATTATATATAATATATAAAATATTAAACAATATATAATATATTATAATGTATATATAATATATGTTATATATATATAATTACAGTTTTCATACCTCATTTTATATGTGTGTATATTTACTTGAAAATAAAAGAAATACCCACCCCTGTGTATTTTCCCAAGAGTTATGAAAACATGTTTACACAAAAACTGATAAAAAAATATTCATAGCAGCTTTGATCATAATAGCCAAAAATGGAAATAACCCAAATATCTTTCAACTGGTAAATGAATAAACTAATTACAATACCTCTGGACAATGGAATACTACTGAGCATTAAAAAGAAGCAAACTACTGGTACAGGTGACAATATGAAGTATCTCAACTGCATGATGCTAAGTGAAGGGTACCAGGAACAAAAGGTTAACAAAACATATGATCCTATTTTAGGACATCGCTCTGAAAAAAGCAAAAAAAAAAAAAAAAAAGAGATCAGTGCTTGACAGAGCCTGGAAATGGGGAAAAGGCATTTACTATAAAGCGACATGAAGGAACTTTTGGGAAATGTTTTATATTATGATTATGGTGGTGGGTATATAACTGTACACATTTATCAAAACTCATCAAACTACACATGAAAATGTTAAATTCTACAGTATCTAAATTATACCTCAATAAACTGGACTTTTTAACAGATAAAAACAATAGATGCTCATGGTAGATAAAGAATCCAGCACGAGTGTCCTGCTTTTTAAACTCACAAAAAACGGTTTTACTTGTATATTTTAAAATGGAATTGTATCCTTATGTCTCCTACTTATTATTTTAATTAAAAATAATGTCTTTTGATGGATTGGCCAATGAAGTTATATTAATCATCCCATTCATAATCTATGTAACAGAGGAAACCATTGCAGTTTTGACCTTTCTTTATGAAAAGCCAACCTACATGGTCCCCAGATACACGAGCCCAGGAAATATCTAAGGAAATCCCGGAAAGCCCTGGTTTCATCTGATATTTAGATATCTAATTTATCATAGCACTTTTTGCAAACTAAATGCATTGTCATATAATTGATGTGAGGTTACTGAGATTTTTGTAAAACTGAAAGAATCAATTCAACCACTGATTAAGTCATTCTGGTCTTTCCTTTATAGAGCATTTCTTCATTTGCAATTTTCAAAGGGACAGAATTTGAAGGTACTCCAGGAGATGAGTTTAAAACTTGACCCGGACTTGTTGAAAGAGCAAAGTGAAGGCAAGTGAAGGCAAAGAACAAAGTGAAGGGATCCAAAGATGGAAAAGAGGAATTTTTAGAAAAAACTCCAATTTAGGAGGTGAGAATTTTATTCCACGGATAAAGCAGACGCATGAGTGTTAAGAGTTTATCCAAGACCTTCCTTGATACCTTAGATTCTGGGGTCCAGGAGTGGTTGTTAAAATGGAGAGCTGCCTGGGTAATGCAATTTGGGGAAGCACACATCTGCAGTTGCATGACCCCTGGGACCAAGGCTTCCCAACAGAAGTGCATAGTACATGTGGCATTGGAGGAAAGAGAAGCTGGCATTTACTGGACTCTAGGTATTTTGTTATGGCTACCGTCTTCCTCATTGTAAGGAGACTATTCAGTGAAGGAACTCCCAAACCAGAAATGAACATCAGACCTCCTGGCCCTAGCTTCATTGGGTCCATCTCTGTACCAATCTTCCCAAGGGAAATAGGCTGGCAGATGAAGGCAGAAGCAGAAGGAAAGAATGGGACGCTTGTAGCACACACATCTTAATTGTGTTTGTTCTCTCTTTAAAATAGATTTTTATGGTTCTGATTAGTACATACAAGTTTTAAAAAATTATTTTATTGGCAAAGGACAAAGAATTTCTCAAGTAATGTGCAAGAGTACAGATGGTTTGAAATTAAATCTAACAGCAGAACACCACACTAAACTAAAGCAGTTCTTGAGACCAGCCTCTCCCTCCTTCTTTCTCCTAGGAAATATTTTCTCAATAGCTATCCTTCCTTTGCTCTGTTCCATTTCATTCCATTCCACTTCTCTTCACAGACAACTGGTATTCTCTAGATGCTCATGGGTTATCCTCCACCTGAACTTGAACAAAGTCTCTTTCCTTTGTAATCAGTACCATACAACGATTAAGAGGAGAGCCTCTGAAATCACATAGACCTAGGCTTGAATCCTGGCCCCACTAGCTAATGCATAGCCAAGTAACTAAATAACTTATTTTCTGTGGGCCTGCAAATTAAGAGCAATGCCTAGGCCATAGAGCTGTTATGGAGATGTAAAAGATAGCCTGTTTAACATGCTGGATAGTGTCAGGCATATGGTAGGCATTCGGTGGATGTTAACTTTTTATATTCTCACTGCATTCCTTCAGCTTCTGCCTGCAGTTCCAATTGGTAAATTATTCCTTACTCTTTGTATTCAAATTTTTTTTTTTTTTTTTTCGCAGGGGCAGGAACAGGGTTTGACTCTGTTACCCGGGCTGGAGTGCAATGGCATGATCCTTGTTCATTGCAACCATTGTCTCCCAGGTTCAAACCATCCTCCCGCCTCAGCCTCCTGAGTATCTGGTACTACACACGCCTGCCACCATGCCTGGCTGATTTTTGTATTTTTGGTAAAGACAGGATTTTGCCTTGTTGCTCAGGCTGGTCTTGAACTCCTGGGCTCAAGTGATCCTCCCCCATCAGCCTCCCAAAGTGCTGGGATTACAGGTGTGAGCCACCACGCCCTGCCTGTGTTCAAATTATTGAGAAAGAAAATTGGGTTGGCATAATTCTTCTATCAGATCACAAAGTATAGGGCTGTCTATGGATTAATGAGTCTTCAGTCAGAAGTCCTCTCCTGTCCACCTTGATATGGCCTGAACTTGAATTTAGGTTACAAAACGTGCCTATTGAGGCAGGAGAGGCTGTGGGTGAATTAGTTTCCTGGAGGAGGGTCATGGCTTGTGGGTAGTGATCAACATCCTAGAAAAAAAGCATTTAAAAATACAGCTTTTCACAACATTGAATCAATGTTCAATATCAGAAATGACCATGGTAAATGCTTGTTACTGGTATTCATGAGTTTGGCTGGTGGTATGTATGCATCTATGTTTTACTTAAGCCTAATTACTTTCAGAATTTCTGTTGTAGTTTGATTAAGATCATCAATACAATGATAAAAACTATTTCAGGGGCAAATCTAGAAATACAAAATAAAATAATTTTCATGAAACTCTCTGCACAGCAATCAGCCTCTGATATGGCAGTGAACGGGGTGTACCTGAAGCCTGCCTGCTGTGGCCTGTATTGAGAACATATTCCTGAAGGTAAATTAGCTTCACACTGCAGCAGACATGCCAAATACATCCATAAAATCCTCCTAGAAAGGGATATGAGAGCTCAAATTCATGTGAAAGCATTTGTGCAGAGAGGTCTGTGAGGGTGATAAGTATGTTATTTACAGACAAATTTCATGAAGTTCACTGAGTAATTAGGACAATAGCTACTCTGGCCTCTAGTCCACCTCCGACTCAGCTCACACAATTTACCCATTCAGATCAATTCTCCACCACTCTTCTGACCAAGCACAACTCTGTCTATTCTAGGGCAAAAATTTTCTGCCAAATTATTTTCTGGTTTTATGCAATGATCTATTTATTCTTAGTTTATATAATATGAAAATTATTAGGAGATAACTTTTGTAACACAATGGTTAAAGGCAGAAAGGCACTAGGGTATGGGTCCATACATTTATTCAACCTTTCAACAAATATTTTCCAAGAACCTAATTATACTAGGTCTTGTTTCAAGCACCTGAAACCCATCAGTCAACAAGATAGAAATAAATCCTACCTTAATAGAGCTTACCTTCTATGTTACTACAAAATAAGGTCAATAAGTAAAATATTTTGTATAATGGAGAGTGGTAACGATAGGAGTAAAAAATTGAGCAGCCAAGAAGAAAACACCTTTGTTACTTTTAAGGTAGAAAGATAGATATAACATTAGTAAACTCCCCAGAAGCCTATAGCCTTGGGTTGAATAGAAGTCAAGAGGCCTCAAACCAGCCAAATGCATTTTTGAGGGAATAAATTCTGCTGAAGGACAGAAGAGGTCTTAGGTCAGGGCATAAAATGTGTACAAGTTTTAAAAGGAATAGATCATCTCGCAAACTGGTAATCAGGGGAGGAGGACGTGTCAGGCAAGTACTGACAATAAGGATGGACAGAAGGGCCAGCAAAGCTGAAGACATTCTAGAGAAGTAGGGATCATCGGGAACCAGGTCCCTATACAAAGTCAGAGTAATGAAACCGAGCCCAGGCAAAGAGCTTGAGAAGCCGCTTTTGAAAATCTCAGCTAAATTAGCCTCAATTCTAAATCAACTTTAACCCTCAATGAGGAACTTTGGAAAACATCTTTTTAGGGCAGAAGTCAGCTCATCTTGTCCGAGGCCTGCAGGTAAAAGGAAAGGAGGGGTGGCTATGATAGTAATGTCAAGGGTACTATTTAAAGCACTTCACAAATGGTAGTACAGTGTTGTGTCCAGGCAGAGTGGATAAAGGCTCTAATACTGGAGCGAGTCCTAGAAGATTGTGTCCGGCATTCTTTCCTAGTTGCTGGATGGATTATCTGGTGGTGGTGGCGGGGGCGATGGTTGTTGTCTAGAGCAACAACAAAGAAGGGCTAGGAGCTCAGGGAAGTGGCTGTTAATCAACTTGTACTCCAACGCTTTGACAAATTCATATAGTTTGTTCATCTGTCAAGTACTTGAAATACAGGATCCTAGAAGGACAGCTTGGATGACAAGAAGTACCTGTGCCCATTAATAACGTTTTTGTTCAGGTGAGGAGCACAGTACATTTATCGGAATACAAAGGACCAGCCTAGCAACTTTCAGGCTGTACCAATGGCACTCTCCTTATTCTCTCCAAGGCCTGGCTCTGCAGGAGTGAAATGAGGTTGAAGACACCTACATCTCAAGGGTGTGATGAGGATCAAATGAAACAGGACAATGTTTAGCATCATGGTTACCATGTAGGAGTTGTGCAGTAATCGCTGGAATATAATAGTATACTACAGAATATAATGGTACATTAAGCAATATCTCATTCAATTTCCTCATTCTACAAATGAGAGTCTTTAGGTACAGGGATGTTTGCAATTTCCAGTGGTTGCCCAATAGTTTAGTCACAAATTCAAAAGAGGAAAGCAGGTGTCCTGTCTCTCAGTGGAGTGTGCTTAATTCTACATTATACTATGTCACTTTTATCCTTTTACAAAGAATTTGCCATATTTTTGCTCCTGTGGTGCATTAATAACTTATGCATTCATGTTTACAACTTTTTGCTGTAGAATATATAGTAGTGAAGAGGGAAAAAGTAAACATAAAATGAGATTTTATGCACAAAGGATAAGACCTATAAGGATGTGCTTAATGAAGGGACTTGGTGTATGAGATGGAAAATTTCAATTAGAATAGCACACTCTTAAATACAGGCCATGACTCGTTCTTTCAAGAATGTTCAGTCGGAATGGTGTTGTTTTCTATTTGTTGTCCTACCAAATATTTCCCAGTTATTTTCCGACAACTTGAGTCTCCAAAAGCTCAGTTAAGGGAAATATTTTGACAGAGCACAGATGATCTTCCCTTGGAATTGCTGCCGCTAAGTCTTCTGTGAATCTGCATTCCTCTATCTGGCAGCTCCAAGATGACATTTGTAAATAGCAACTTTAAGTATATAGCCACAGCATGAAGAGTCCTTCCACCAGATTAGTACCATTCCTGACTGCTGGGGACGGCAAACTCGCATTTAAAGAAAACTCTCAAGTATGTCACGCTACTCCCTACTTTTCATTTACTTATCCCAAGGCAATGAAAGGGTTTGTGTGTGGAGAAATCAAAGAAGAACACTCATCGGGCCTGGATTGTCGCCACCCCCACTGCCTGCCTTCTCCTCAGTTATAGATCTATAAATAAGCAGCCTCACTGATAGAAGTTAAAATGTAGTACTATGGTTCACGTATGTGTGTGTGTGTGGCCGGGCGCAGTGGTTCATGCCTGTAATTCCAGCATTTTAGGAGGCCAAGGTGGGCAGATCATTTAAGCCCAGGGGTTCAAGACCAGCCTGGGCAATATGGCAAAACCCTGTCTCTATAAAAACATAAATATATATATACACACACACACACACACACATATATAGTGTGTGTGTGTGTGTGACTTTTTTCAAAATGCACAAACTCTTAATAGTTACTAAGGCAGAAGAACATGCTCTACCTCCCAGGAAGCAGAAAAATTAGTCACAATCTGTCAGAAATCAACTGTTTGCCAAGGAACTCTTCCAGAAGCACTAAACTTTGTTTAATAATATTATTGATTTTCTAAACTGTTAAATATGGTTTATAATGGTGATAACTTAGATGATACCACTCATTACTTCAGTTAATACCTAGTTTGTTAGAACATTAACTTTAGCCACAGGCAATTAACTGACAAACTGATTGTGTGAGTGTGTGTGTGTCTGTGTGTGTCTGTGTGTGTTTGAGTGAAAGAGAGAGAGAGAGACATATTGAGAGATAAGCAAGTGAACAGTAAAGTATTTTCAAATGGCATGAGAGAGCTCTGCAGTGCAGCCCAGACTCTTCTTGTCCTTCCCTTTTCTTTCTAGAAGAAAAAGGACAGCTCTATATAAGTATGAAGTCCCTCTAAACTTGCTGAGCTAATTCACAATGAGCCATTGGAAAGCATGGGCATAAATAATTAAACATTACTACTGATAAAAAGATGTGTGTGTGTGTCTGTGTGTGTGTGTGTTTGTGTGTGTGTGTGTGTGTACAGGTGGAGAACTTGGGAATAGGATAAAGAAAAGGGTTATAAACTATGTAAAAGCATTGTGTTGCCCCGTCATTGGTACAAAGTAAGATTCATGCTTATTCCTTTACAGGGAAGTGACATGCCAGCTTGGGCACTGGAGTCCATCAGACATAGTTTTGAGCCCCACAGATTCCAGTTATGTGGCCTGTGCAACATGGCAAAACCCCATCGCTACAAAAAAAAATGTGTGTGTGTGTGAGTGTGTGTGTTTGTGTGTGTCTTTGCCTCAGCTTCCTCATACCTTACAGGTTGTTACCTTTTAAAACAAATAAACTATAATTATTTTATTTTTTTATTTCAGGTAATTCCATTTTAAGGTCTTTGCATTACTCTTCATAGAAGTTATTTAAAAACTGCTGCCAGAATGATTTCTATTCCTTTGGGTATATACTCAGTAATGGGATTGCTGCATCAAATGCTATTTCTGGTTCTAGATTTTTGAGGAATCACTGCATCGTCTTCCACAATGGTTGAACTAATTTGCATTTCCACCAACAGTGGAATATAAATCATTCTATTACAAAGATACATGCACACATATGTTCATTGCAGCACTATTCACAATAGCAAAGACATGGAATCAACCCGAATGCCCATCAATGATAGACTGAATAAAGAAAATGTGGTACATATACACCATGGAACACTATGCAGCCATAAAAAGGAATGAGATCATTTCTTTTGTACAGACATGAATGGAGCTGGAAGCTATTATCCTGAGCAAACTATTGCAGGAACAGAAAACCAAACACCGCATTTTCTCTCTTACAAGTGGGAGCTGAACAATGAGAACATATGGGCACAGGGAGGGGAATAACACACACTGGAGCCCATTGGGGGATGGGGTTGGGGGAGGGAGAGCATTAGGAAAAGTAGCTAATGCACTCATGCTGGGCTTAATACCTAGGTGATGGGTTGATAGGTGCAGCAAACCACCATGGCACATGTTTACCTATGTAACAAACCTGCACGTCCTGCACATGTACCCCGGAACTTAAAAATAAAAATAAAAACTGCTGCTGGAGAGTTTTCTTTTAGTTTCTGTATGCATTTTGTTGTGCTATTCTTATGTAGAGGAGGGATTTACTTCCAATTCAATTATAAGCTGTTGAGGGCAGGCAACATCACATCCTATATTTCTTTTTATCTGTCACCTAGCATGGTGTATTTTACAGAGCAGACACTCAAGAAAGTCATGGTAATTTTGTTGGTTAAAATGCTTTGTCACCTGCAAACTTGATCTTTGGGCCATTGCCTCTACCCTACTCCTCCTCCAAGTATGGCCCTATTCATCATTTTTACCACATCATACGGAATTAGTAAAGTGTAAAGTTAGTGATTGATAGTTGGTGTTTATGCATTATATTCTACCTCACTCTAGAAACTAATTGTCAATATGTTAAATTCTGAAACAAAAGATCCACTTGTGTTGGTGTCAGCTATTGAACTAGAGTCAATCCATTTCCAAGGAAGTTCCCAAAAAAGGCAGAGATAAACTATTATCTATTAAGTCAAGTCTGGGAGACAGAATCTATGGTGATGTAACAAATGAAAATATGATGATCTAGTAGAATTCATATGAGAACACTATTTGAGCTCATCAAGATTACAAATCACTTCAGGGAAGATATGAATGTATATTTCTATTGTGTATGTTATTTATTGGAATGCACTGATTTTCCACGTATCTACCTATCTTAAAATCTGTCTCTTCTTTAATCCTATCAAAAGCCTGTTTCTAGAAAGCATTTAACTCTTTAAGCCACTGTAACACTTCAGTTGCACTCTTTCAAAGATATATATTACAGGCTCCCTAATATGATGGGTTTTGGTTTGTTCGTTGTATATTCCGCATAAAGTTCTTGCAATCTAGGAGTTGTACTTAATTTACCTAATGTCTAACTCAATGGCTTTTGCATAAATTTCCCATCACTGGCTTATGCCCAGAGAGTGTGATAGGAAGGGAAGTTTAAACCAGCTTAAATACAGTGATAAAATTCAACAACTAAACAAATGTAATAAGATTTTAGATCTGGTTATTTGCAATACAAGCAGGTAAAATCATGTGTTAGAGAAGCTGTTCTTAAACATTTAACTATCAATCAGAATTACCAGAGAAGCCTTTTAAAAAATTGACTGATAGAGATATATGTGCTCATCAAATCATTTGCCAATGGAAAGCTTGAGATGAGAAGTAACAGGGTAGATACATTCTGACTCCATTTTTTTTCTTCTTTAGACCACTAAGTCATTTGCTTATTCATGGTCAACTTCAATAACCTCCTACAATATAAGTTCTAAATCAGGTTTTATCCTTGTATTCTCAACATTTAGAAGAAAAGTTTCTCAAAAAAATTGAAAGTGAATAAATACAAAAAAAAATTCAATAAGAAATTAAAAAGTAAAGTGAAACAAAGGTAATGTAGATGTATATATAATACCTATCATTGGGTAGGCAAGTGGTAGATACTATGTCAATGTTAATACATGTCTTGGTAGATCTTGCAGTTCTTTTGTAATTTTATCTCTATTTCAATTCGATATATGTTTCTCCTCCCCTACTCTCTCTCATCACCTACACTCTCATTTTCTTTCTTTCCCTTATGAAAGCCTTTAGGGTTTTATATCTAACTTGAGAACAAAATTGCATACAATATCTACATTAATTTTCGTCTTTTTCTGATTAAAAGTCATTAGCCATTTGTATTTTTTTAAAAATGTACAAATATAAACTTTACAAAGAAAATATATATCACATAGAAACCTACCACATGGATACAGAAATAGAAATACTACTAAACAAAAAATCAAATGAAAATCCTCGTGCTAAAAAGTACAATATTTCACTAATCATTAGAGAAATACAAATCAAAACTGCAATAAGATACCATTTCACACCAGTCAGAATAACGATTATTAAAAAGGCAGAAAATAAAGGATGCTAGTGAGGACACGGAGAAAAGGGAACACTTATACACTGCTGGTGGGAATGTAAATTAGTTCAGCCACCATGGAAAGCAATTTGGAGATTTCTCAAAGAACGTAAAACAGAACTACCATTTGACCGAGCAATCCCATTACTGGGTATATACCCAAGCAAATATAAACTGTTCTATCAAAAAGACACATGCACTCGTATTTTCATTGCTGCATTATTCACAATAACAAAGACATAGTCAACCTACATGCCCATCATAGGTAGATTGAATAAAGAAAATGTGGTACATATACACCATGGAATACCATGAAACCATTAAAAAGAATAAAATCATGCCCTTTGCAGGAACATTGATGTAGCTGGAGGCCATTATCCTCAGCAAACTAATGCAGGAACAGAAAACCAAATACCATATTCTCACTTATAAGTTGGAGCTAAACGTTGAGTACGCATGCACACAAAGAGAAAAACAATAGAAACCATGGCCTACTTGAGGGTTGAGGATGGGAGGAGGATGAGGGTTGAAAAACTACCTACCATGCACTCTTTACTACCTGGGTGATGAAATCATTTGTACACCAAACCCCAGTGATATGCAATTTACTCATATAACAAACCTGCATGTGTACTCCCGAACCTAAAATAAAGGCTGATGGAGAGAAAAAAATAGAAAGAATGAAGAAGGTCTAGCATTTGGAAACACAACAAGCTAACTATAGTCAATAATAGTTTAATTGTACATATTAAAACAACTAAAAGAGTATAATTGTATTGTATGTAACACAAAGGATAAATGCTTGAGGTGACGGATACCCCATTTACCCTGATGTGATTATTATACATTGTATGCCTATGTCAAAATATCCCATAAACCCCATAAATATATACACCTATGTATCCACAAAAATTAAAAATAATTTTTTAAGTTGAGAAGAAAAATAATACAACATATAGGATCAAAAAGTTATTGATTGTGACTTGCACTTCTGAACAGGATCCAGTAAAATGTACCAGATTTACTTTCCCACCTGAAAACAAAACAATCATATTAGATATACGAAATGCTGTTTTTTTTTAAAAAAAACCAATGTACAATGAAGGACAGTTATTCTTGAAAGATGGAAAACAAGTAAGATGAACCCTATCTATGTTTGCCCCACTTTACTGCTTACAGAGTTCTCAACCCATGGTTGATGGAGAACGAACCCAGAGGAAGCCCAACAGACTCCCTGAGTTCAGGAGACAGAGCTAAGGGTTCACAGGCAAGGAAGGAAGGCATATTTTGTATAGCTTCCTCAAATCAGAAGGGATAATCAGATGTCATGTTATATTTGATTGTATTCTCAACTTAGTATATTTTCATGAAATAATACTGTCTAGCCTATTGACACTCATTTAACAACCTTTCTTCCCCTAAGGCTCTATTTCAGTAAACATGTATATGCCTGAAGAACATGTATGCGCTTGAAGAAGGTGCCTTGATATATTTGTTTTCATTTTTTTTAAGTTAGAAAACTGGTATTTGGAGGAGGGAAGACTTCCGGAATTGTAGAATGAGGAGATTGGCAAACCTTCTGCCCAAAACACAATGATACAACTAGATAAAATTGTCAAAACATTCATTTCAATATTGTTTGAAAATTGACCAAAGGCATGCAACAATCCGGAAAGCATTTGTTTATGCTTGAAAAACTGCTGAACTTGGGGTTTCAGGTAGGAAGAATGTCAGTCTACTGCATTTTACCCTATAGTTGCTCTCTTCTTTCCCCTCCTTACTCCTTCCCCATCAAGCTCATTCTGGGTGGTAGTTCTACTAGGATGGAGCAAGTCATCACAATCAGGAATTTCACTGCCAGTGGAGTCTAGCTTGATTTGGTAATACATGTTCAGGGGCCTTGTCTCAGACAGTGGTGATATTGGTGGCAAGCAATCAGGGAAGGCCAACATCACAACTGCCTGTGGTTGAGACACTGAATGGAACAACTTACTATTCAACTCAACAGTTTTACTCATAGGTATCTACCCCACAGGAAATGAAAACATTTGTCCACACATAGACTTGAATGAAAATGTTCCTGGCGATATTGTACATAATAGTCAAAAACTAAAAACAACATAAATGTCCACTGGTTGAAGAATGAATAAACAAAATGTAGTATATATAGATAATTATTCAGCAATAAAATGGGAGGAACTACAGGTACATGCTACGACATAGATGAATCTATCGCAGAGACCTGAATGAGATTGGAGACTATTATTCTAAGTGAAGTAACTCAGAACAGAAAACCAAACATTGTATGTTCTCACTCATAACATACGATGAGGTAAGCTATGAGAATGCAAAGGCATAAGAATGACACAGTGAACTTTGGGGACTCAGGGGAAAAGGCTGGGAAGGGGGTGAGGGATAAAAGACTACAAATTGGGTGCAGTGTATACTGCTCGGGTGATGGGTGAACCAAAATCTCACAAATCACCACTAAAGAATTTAATCATGTAACCAAACACTACCTGTTCCCCAATAACCAATGGAAATAAAAAATCAAAAAATAAATAAGTAAAAACTCAAAAAATTCTAAAAAGCTAAGTGAAAGAAGACAGACAAACATGACCACATATTGTATGATTTCATATATGTGAAATGGCCAGAAAAGGAAATACATAGAAAAAAAAAAACAGATTAGTTGTTACCCCTGGTTGGGGGTGGGTCTGAGGAGTGACGGTAAATAAGAAAGTGGAATCTTTTTGAATTGTGATGATGGTTAAATAGCTCTCTAATTTACTAAAAATCATCAAATCGTATGCTTGGGATTGATGAATTTTATGGTGTGTAAATATACCTCAATAAAACTTAAAAATTGGTATATGATAATTAAAATTATTATTAAGAATACTAACACTAACAGAATAATCATTAACTCTATTGTAATAATTTAACAAAGTATGAAGCATCTTGGAATAGTGCTGTAAAATTCTCAGTAAGTTTTGTAAAGGATATCTCTTATTGCTTCATAACATACAAAAATAGAAAATTGTAAGAGCCTCATTATTATCCTTGGTTTATCTTAAGAAATTTTCCCATTCAGAAATAGTCTTGTCCATCATGATAATAATAATTTCAGATAGTTATAAGAAAATCTATTCTGAAGTTATATGCATTATAATAAACTATTGTACAAACAAGAAAAAAACAGAATTTGCTCCATATGCCAGCTATTGAAAGAAAGAACAATAATTGCTAATAATTAATTCTGGCATTAGCTTGGCACTAGATAATACAATGAACAAAAGAGTGATACCATCTCAGATAGTATCCACCAAGGTCTTCTCAGATTAACGTAATTGTCAATTGTTAAACTAATTGAGAAATCTGAGACCATTGTCCTTATATCTTTTATGGAGTTTCTTTCCTAGAGATTGAACAGAAGCTCAGTTTCACATTTAGACAGAACAGCAACTTGATGAAATAGTCACTTTGTGCTGAAAAAAACTTTCCTAAAAAGTAGAAGATAAAATTATAGCTAATATGCTTTGTCTTTAGATTTAAAATGTTTGAAAGGCCATTTCTACCTATGAAAACCATATATGCATATATTTAAGTAAATATTAGCTAATACTTAAGGGGATGTGGGAAAATTGATAATCCTGCATATTGCTGTTAACATTGTCAAAAGGAAAACAACTTATCAGTATGTATCTTGAAATGGAAAAATCTTCATGCCCGTGGCTAGTAGTCATCCTCTTTCAGAGTCTGTCCAAATCTCCTGCGACTTCGGTACTGCTTCAATAGGTGCAATCTTTTTGGGTTACAGGGTATATATGGATGTAAGAGAGAACAATTTGGCTCAGAGAATATTAAATATTTGTGAGTTTCAGAGTGCCTGCCTGCATCATAATAAAATAATTGACAAAGATTAATGTAGGTGAAACCTCTTCTGCTCTCTGACATATTTTCCATAAATGCTCTTCCAATTCAGCTTCATCACTTTGTCAATCCATATCCCATAGTGAACTCATAGGGATATTACCAGAAGAACTGGGCAGAATGAGCCCAGAATTGTGACTCTCAAGGCTAATGTAAAAATGGCTGTCAATTCATTTCCCATTTGGTACGTTTTTTATCTTTTTATGGCTTCTGGCACCTTGTGACCCACAGTCCCTGCCAATGAGCATGGTCAGAGTCCTCGTTTGGATCCCCAAGCTTCTGATATCTTTGTACCAAGGATGTCATTTAGGTAACTAGATGATAAATGCAATTCCTACCGTAGGCTCAGAAAGAGGTCACAAAGGCTGAGAAGAGAACAACAGTTGCCTGGTAACCACACTCTCTAAACCAAGGGGCTGGTTCATCTATGCAGGATTTGCAAAGATGGTGACATGAACAGATCAACCCTCCAAACCTTATATAAGATATTGAGATTAAAAAGTTAAGATGGCTAATTTCATTTTTGTTGTTTCTTACTTCCGTTTTATAGTTCTTTTTGAGGCATAATATTCAAAATACAAATGCACATATTACAAGCAACAGTTCAATACATTTTATGAACTAAAATTACCCATGACATGAGCACCAGATCAGAAAATAGAATATTGCTAGCACCACATATTCCTCACTCAAGTTTTTTCTAGCTAGTCACCGCACTATTCTTTACTAGTAACACAGCATAGAGTAACTTGGCCTGTGTTAAGACTTTTATATAAATGATGTCATATAGTGTGTACTCTTTTGTGCCTGGCTTCATCTTGTGTTTTTGATATATTGGCATGTGCAATTGTAGAATGATCATTCTTAATACCATATTTCATTTCATTGTGTGACTATACCACCATTTTATTTTTTATTCTTTTGTTAATGGGTAATTGGGCAGTTTTCAGTTTGGGGCAATTATTAATAGGGTTTTTAAGAATACACTTCTGTTGATCATACGTGCACATGTGCCTAAAGAGTGGAATGACTAGGTCACAGAGAATGGATATGTTAAGCTTTAGTACATAATGCCAAAGTATTTTCCAAAGTGATTATACCGATTTATACTCCCACCAGAAATATATAGGGGTTTCAGTTTCTCCACATCCTCACTAACACTTGGTATTTTCTTTTTCATTTTAGCCACTTTACTGGTTATGTAGTGAGTGTGTAGTGGAGAGATGATTTATTTCAAGAAAGATTTAAGTGTGCTATACCTCACCTCACCTCAATTCATGAGAGGAGCTTCAGGATCCCTAAGGAGAGTTTCAAATATGTTTCCAAGGGTGTGAAGAACAAGAGGACAGACATGTGACTTATACCCATGAATTCTAAAGGCAAGATCTGTGGCTGGTGCTACCCCTTATTGATGGTGGAGTAGAGAGGGCTGCCCTGGGATCCAGCTCCTTTTCCAGCAAAGGTAGGGCACAGGTGAAGGTTTTCTGGGGACCAAATACGACCTTGAGAAAGCGGTACAGTCTGGAGTTTTCTGAGGATTCACTCCAGCACAGATGACTGACTGAGGAAACACAGGAATACCAACTGAAAAATAAACAGCTAAAGACCCAGGGGGCAAGGATGAAGGTGTATATAGACAGCTAGACACAAGGCATTCCCCTCACCAAAGGGTTGAAATGGGAGATCCTCAATAGGAAAATTGCTAAGTACTCCATTAATGTATGCCATGGTGATAGAAAGGCATCATGGAAAAATACTATCACCAGTGTTTTCTAACACCAGGTTCCAACTAAGCCAGTCATTTACCCAGTCATATAGTGATTAGCAAACAACTAAGACAGAAATCCAGTTCACATCCTTTTCCTACTGTAGGCTTCCAGTACTCAAGCAGATCTGAGTTTGGGAGGAGAAAAGTTTAACACTGAATAATGTTGGCATCTGAAATAACACTGAGTTGGAGTAGTCATTATGAAATGAAATCGAATTTGTTAATGCTTGGAAGATATTAAAATATTTTTATTGGTTAAGAGAGACTGGAAAAACTAGGGAGCATGTCCAGAATTTTAGCCAGGAACAGGGAACAATTGTTACACAGTAAGAATTAAAAGATGATTAAAAAGAATAAGGAAGAATTTCATACAATACAGGTGATTGAGTTAGTGTTTACAAAAACAAAACACTCAGGCAACCTCAATCTTGATTTCTCCTATGATATTCAGTCTTGCATAGATACAGTTTATAGGCAAGCAATAAACACCAAGATTTTTGAAGTATGCATGAAAATTGCTGCAATGCTTTTCAATGGACAGTGATAACAGCAAGCCTGTGCCTTAATCTGCCTGTGCTCTGAAGACTGGTTCATTGAACTGTTCTGAGAGCTATCAGTGCAGATATAGTCTTGCAACAGCTGTTATAGCAGCATCTGTGACCAAGATAAAGGCTATTGAAGTTTCTGTGCCACAAGTAAATTTCAGTGAAAGTTAATAGAGTGAGAGCATTCCTCAAACTGCAACAGAATCAGCTATTTCTCCACCAACAAAGTCTTTGTTCTTTAGCCTAGAGTCTTTTCTTTAACACATCTGGTAAACCAAGCTAGTCTTTCAGGAAATGGAGAAACAAAATTACCTAATCCTGTAGTAGAAGTCAAGAGGACATCCTCACCTCATAAAGAGGAATACCTCCTCACCATCGCGCCACACCCCCGCCAAAAAAAAAAAAAAAAAAAAAAAAACCCAGAAGAGATAAAACAAGTGAAGATGCTAACAGTCTTGCTTTGAGTGGGAATAATAAAACAAAAATAAAGAAACAACTTGATATAAAGAAAAATACCACTGAACCAGGAACCTAAGAGCTTTTCTGTTGGGCTCTCAGAAAACATCTTGTACAGATCTTTTCAATACTCCTCCTCTCCCAGCAAATCCTATGCCTGTTATTAAGGATTCAATAAAACTGAGATTTAACTAGCCAAAGCAATCTCAGGGATCCATAGCTATATAGGCCAACTCAGCCTGTTCTTTTACTAAATCTGTTTGCTGACAAATGCTTTAAAAAAAGAATGGAATGTACCAAATTAAACTAAAAATAAACATAGGTTTATTTGGTGTCCTCCCTCACTGGGTTCAATCAGCACGTGGTCAAAAGTTCTAATTAGTACATGGAGCCAGAATTGCTATTATTAATTTGTTAACAACAGTATAAGTGATGTTAGATATTGACAAACTTAGTTACTCTTTCTTAATTTGGACAAAGAAAGTTGACAGCTCTTCTTTTTTCCAACTAACATGTATAAATCCTCCATTGTGTTTTTATCCATCACATGCGGATTTTTTCATGTGACATTGCAATTATTTAAACTCTTGCCCTTTCTTAATTCATTTTTCAAAGTTGGAAGATGACCTTTGCATCATTAGGAGATGCATTAATAGGCTTTATTTTCACCATTATTGTATGCTATCTGGTATACAATATTTTTTCTTCCCACATTTTTGTTCTCTGCAGTCACTTTACCTGCCCTCTCTTAACCTAAGAACTACGGTTATACAAAACTGCATGTTTTGTGTAGCTATGGAGTCAGACTGTAATCGCCAGACACAGACTTAGTCATTTTGTTTACACAATGTGGGAAAATTCAGTTTATTAAATATTTCATATAACTATATCCAATCTTTGCCAAACTGGAAACTTGGACATTTTCCGCTTAGTAATTTTTGGCTCTAAAAATGTATTTTTTATTTTTTAATTGTGTAGTGATTTTGTAATTCTAGTACTCATAACATGAAGATCAGACTGTTGTTTTCACATGATGTATGTAGTATCTCATCACTGGAGTTTATTTTGTTTTATATTTAAACACATTTTATTTTACAAGAGCTATCTTACAAACAGATGATGTATTTCCTTACTTAAAAAAAAAAAAAACAGTTGTTTTAAAACAACTGGCCAGCAGTTGTGGTTCACATCTATAATCTCAGCACTTTGGGAGGATGAGGAGGGAGGATTGCTTGAGTCCAGGAGTTCGAGACCAGCCTGGGCAACATAGTGAGACCTCATATCTACAAGAAAAATCAAAAAATTAGCCAGGCATGGAGGTGTGTGCCTGTGGTCGCTGCTATTCAGGCGGCTGAGTTGGGAGGATCACTTGAGCCCAGGAATTCAAGGCTGCAGTGAGCCATGGTCATGCCACTGAACTGCAGCCTGGGTGACTAAACAAGACCTTGTCTCAAAAAATAAAAATAAAAACAAATGAAACAACAAACTTGAAAGGAAGAAAGGAGGGAAGGAAGGAAGGAAAGAAGGAAGGAAGGAAGGAAGGAAGGAAGGAAGGAAGGAAGGAAGGAAGGAAGGGAGGGGGAGAGGGAGGGACAGAAGGCAAAACCCATCAGCCTTAAGGGGAACAAATCAGGAATGAAATAATAAAAATGTTTACCATTAAAAGAGTTGGGGTTGTGAACATATTTAACCATGCTCAATACTTCTAATTTTTCTGATGCATGTATATAACATTTGTAATTTTAAGAATGTAAAAATAAAAGCTTGGAGCTGTTAACTTGGAACAAGCATTAGAGAGTTAGGGGTTTTTTGTCTTTTTTTTTTTTTTTTGAGACAGGGTCTCTCTCTGTCACCCAAGTTGGAGTATGGTGGCATGATCTACAGATAGAGATAGAGATAGAGATAGAGATAGAGATAGAGATAGAGATAGAGATAGAGATATCCATATCTATATCTATGTGTGTATAATAGTTATATATATGGTGTGTGTATTTCAAGAGCATTTTATTGCCTATTTTATTGTAGCTAGTATTTTTTTTTTCAGTTGCAGCTGCAAAAAGTTATAGCAGGTATAGAACTTAGCCTTCCTGGAACCTGGAAAATTGTAAAGCAATAAAAAGTAAAAATGCCTTTTTATAAATGGTTTCATGTAGTTTTAATGATAGTATGAAATATTTTATGGGAGAGATGCCACAGTGTTAGCTAAATTATCAAATAATTCTTAGACAGTATTACCAATATCAATGTCTGGAGCTTATTTCTAAGAAGTTATACTTGTAGCCATGGATCAACTTTATGATACCCTTAAGTTTAACAACCCTAAACTCTTTGTTAGAGACAGGGATTGGGGCCTTTAAAAATATATATCTATATATTTAAATATAATAATTATGGGACATGTACTCTGCTCCTCGAGATCCCAAAACTCACCAAAACCAAAGAGGAATACAGAATATTGTTAAGCACAATTCTACTAAAAAATACATCAGCAAAATATGTAAAAGTAAATTCAAATTGCATGTTAGATATGTCTATCCTTCAAATCCATTGATCATCTAGCTACAGGAGATTGACCCCCAAATCCACTGCCCGAAACACTCTGACCCATTTTCTCCTTCAACTTATCAATTGAACCATAGTCTGCCAATGACACTCTTTTCTTTCTCTATTACAAAGAACAATCCAGGGCTCCTTAATATCTACTTGTACAACCACTTATAATCACCTGTTTAAAAATATCAAAACAAAAACCCTGTGGACAGGATATTCTGGGAAGGAGATATATTTATATTTACTTTTTGCAGATCCATTGACTGAATTTTTTCAGTCCATTTATTTTGAGGAATTTGGGCACTATACTACACTCTAAAGATACTGTATTGACTGAAACAGATAAAGCCCATGCAATTACACAGTTTACTGTTAAGGGGAAAGAGACTATCAAATTATCACATCAATAAGCACAGCTAGGAGGGATGATAAGTGCTACATAAAGGGAAACTAAGTTTGTTTTGTAGAATTGTACGAGGGATCTTAATTTCAATTGAAAATTCAAGGAAGGTCTTTCTGAGAAGTAATCATGTATAGCGTGTCCTTAAGGATGAGAATAAGTCAGGCATGAAAAGAGCAAACAAGAAGATGCACAAAAGCCCTGAGGTAAGAAAGTTATTTGGGGGTTTGAGGGAATGAAAAAAGGTCAAGAGTGAGTAGCATGGTGGCGGGGGGGCGGTAGGGGGAGGGGATGAAACGTGAAGAATTTGTGGAGGAAGGCAGAAGTCAGCTCCCAAAAGGGCTTTATAAAAAGATTTAGTATTTGAGATGTTATTTTAGGTATAATGGGAAGTGCATGAAAAATTTGGGGGAGAAGGCATGATCTAGTTGGCATTTTAAGAAAATCATTCTGCAGTTTATTAAGCATGAATCCACCAATAGCAATTGATGGCACCTATTTTCGTAAATGTAGAAGAGCTTATGAAATTGGGGACATATTACACAAATCAGGTGTAAGATAAAAGACTCCTTTTTAGAAAGAGTTAAGTGTCAGGAAACATATTCAATTTGTCCAATGGGAAGGAAATTGCCTATTAGAAGCATAAGAATTCTAGAATACATTTTCTAGTAGACACTACCTACATAAACTTTCTCATGTAGATAAAGATTGCAAATGCTTGAAATGCCTTCTCCCATGTAATCATCAAATGAAATATCCTGTTTTAAATATTCCCATATAGCAAAGGAATGTAAGGTCACACAGATAGAATTTCATGGGACAAAAGTTATTCTAAGTTAAGTAAAAAATTGCAGGTCTAATTTATATTGGCTTTGCAGTCACACACTTCTTTATAGCTGGCTGTGTGACTGTCACAGTGAAGAAGAGACCTCCCTATATTTGAAACTATATCACTTGAAGCACTTATTAATATGTATCATACCCCATTAATTATATAAATCTTATGTTCAGGTGTCACTACAATGGCCGAGTGACAATACACACAGCACTACCAGCACACAGTATGTTCTTGGTACCAACCACTCAGTGAATATGAGTAACTATATAATGGGTTCAATAAGTGCTTTTTCAATCAAATGTATACATTTTAAGAAATAACTGAATTGGTTGCACGCATCTTATAATAAGGAGGAAATGATAGAGCGCCACTGTTTGCCAAAATTAGTTTTATATATAAAAGCAAAAATATGCCACATTAACCTTATGCTAATATTCAGAAAATTTTCTGAAGCCCTTGCTTCCCTTTTTTGTACAGTTTGCATATTCCTAACAGTGGGAAAGTATAAGTTTACATTTGTCATAGGTTGGTCTGTTCTCTCAGTATATTTTCTTCCTTGCCAAACTGTTACGGAGTCTTTAAAATTTGAATTATCACTGTAATTCAGAGGAAGTTATGCTACCTTCCAACCAGTCTGAGCTCTTAATAGCTAATTCACACATGATGACATGTAAAATACACTTTATTTTGTATTTTAGAAAATTGACCGGTATATTGTGCCTTTCTTTTCTGGATGTTGAAAACATAAGTTTGGAATGCTCCCAAACATAAAAGACAAAAACATAAAGCACAATTGGCTGGAACCCTCCCTACAATTTTTCATAACATTCTTCCCTAATCTTTCAGCGGAAAAAAAGCTTCATCTTTTCTTCCTATGAAATACAAAAATTCTGGCCTTGATTATATTACCTGTTATTATCCATACTCTTAGCCTATTCAGACATTCAATTAATTGAACTTTCCCTACAAATAAATAAAACAGGTCCCAATTTTGAAAATGATTCATGTCATTTTTAAAATTTGTTTTCAGAGGGACCCACCAAGGAATTCCTATAATCCTAAACCAGTTGTTGGTTTTCTGTAATACACAAAATTTTGTTTTTGCTCTCTGCCATCACAATGATAGGCATTATAAACAAGAGGATAAGATAGCCCATAGAATCTTCTTTCTTAACATCCTGAGTAAAATAAAACAGAAGTTGGTGCATCTGAATTTGTTTTCCTTTCTCTCCAGCTTTATTGAGGTATAATTGACACATAAAAGTTGTATATACTTAAAGTGTATAATATGATGTTTTAATATACATATATATTGTAAAGTGCTTATCACAATCAAGCTGATTAACATATCCATCACCTCACATATTTACCGTGTATGTGTGTGTGCAAGTGTGTTAAGGACAGTTAAGATCTACTCTCAGCAAATGTCAAGTACACAATGCATTATCATTAACTGTAGTGACCATGCTGCACATTAGATCTCCAGAGCTTATTCATCCCACATAACTGAAAATTTATACCCTTTGAGTAACCTCACCAAATTTCCCCCTCCATCGCCACCACTACCCCAGTTCCTAGCAATCACCATTGTACTTTGTGCTCCTAAGGTTTTTTCTAAGGCTTAATAATATTCCATTAAACATACACACACACACACCCACACACACATACAAAAAAAAAATACACACACATTTTCTCTGTCCTTTCATTCATCTACAGGCACAACAATCTAAGTAGATTGTTTCCATATATTGGGTACCGTGAATAATGCTGCCATGAACATGTAAATGCAGATATCTCTTCGAGATACTGATTTTATTTCCTTTGGATATACACTTAGATATGGACTTGTTGAATCAAATGGCAGTTCTTTTTTCAATTTTGTGAGAGATCTCCATACCATTTCCCATAATATACATTCTCACCAACAACATATAAGGATTCCCTTTTCTCCACATCCTTGCCAACCCTTGTTACATTTTGTCTTCTTAATAACAGCCATCCTAACAGGTGTGAGGTGATATTGCATTATGGTTTTGGTTTGCATTTCCCTGATGATTAGTGATGTTGAGCACATTTTCGTATACCTTTGGCCATTTGTACGTCTTCTTTGGAGAAATGTCTGTTCAGATCTTGGCCCCTCTGAATTTGATTCTTATTCAACATTTGGCAGGAAGGGGAAGTGGAGAACTGGGGAGGAAATGTGAGAAGTAGTTGACTTAAGAGTTTTGGCTTAAGAGCTGCTCCTCTGTCCAACTCTTTGCCTGCTAGTTTTGGGGCTTTTGGTTGGGCAGAATTGGAGAAATGGGCCAAATAAAAGATAATAGAAGATGGAAAGATTTTATTTGTATTGGAAACAGAAGAGAGTAAGCCATAAAGACAGGAGGAATTGGACTGTATCTGTGACAATGAGACAGTATGGGCTGGAGTAGAGTAGGTTATGGAGTTTGGGAGCATTTCAGTAGAGAAAGGTGAAAGACTCCGATTTCACTGCTATAATGTAATATTGTGACAAAGAGAAAAGAAGAAAGAAAAGTTTAAGTTGTGTTAGTTGTTAAAAATACCAATATGCAAGCCTTTTATTTAGAATCTAAAGTTTAAAAATTAAATGGTTCTTAATTCGTTTTGGATGACCAATTATTTTCATCTAATGCAGAACTGAGTTTTAGTCATTTGATACTTCAGCTTTATATGGAGTCAAACGTTTAAATGAAGGTTTTCTATTTATTTCACCTCCAGGTGAGGGCAAGAAAGTACAGCTCCAACTTGGGCTTATATTTTATTATCTATATAGCTACAGATGAAAATGGGCTTATATTTTACTATCCATATAGATATAGATACAGATCATGAAATAGCAGTCATTTACTGTGCCTGATATGAGTTGGACATTTTGTATACAATATCTTTAATCATGACAAGGTAATTAATATTGTGCCCATTTTATAGATGGGAGAACTGAGGTTCAGAAACGTTAATTGGCTTGCTCAGAGCCACACAGATATTAAGTGAGCCTGCTGAGGATTTTAACCTATTATATAGAGTCCCCAGATCTATCAACTTTTCTACTCAATCATTCTGCAGCCCCATGCATTTTTCCTTCTAAGCAGAGAAAGTAAAGCAAAACCTCGAAAGAAACAACTGTTAAACTTCTCCTTTCATCTTTCTACTGCCAGCATACATATTTACGTTCTAAACTTATTTTAAATCAAAACTAGAGAACTAATATCTGTTTCATAATAGTACCTAATTTAATAGAAAAACTGTATGATTCAATGGAACTTCGTTTGACTCATTTCTTCACATAGACACTGCTTTTGGTTTGGCTGGCAGAATATCTATATAGAAATATGGTACCATTTATTTGTGATACTGATAGATAATAGGTATTATTCATTTTTTTACACAAATCACAGGCAAATATGTGTTCTCAAAGACCCAAAGATTCATATAGGAATGAGAAACAAAAACAGTACTAAAGGTCCAATTCTCACAATAAAGGAAAATCACACAAATAGAAGACAGCAAGGCTTCATTGATCATTTGTCTACCTGGGACACTGTCAGTGATATTCAACTCCAACCCTCTTGTCTTATCAGAATGTTCGTCTAGCAGTGTTCTTATGGATTATCTATTTTTGCTGAATAACTTGCAGTAGGGCTGCTAATCAAGAGAGAAAAGAAGCTACCTTCGGTGATGCAAATTGCTTTCCAGTGACTGATTGTGCTAATCAATCTTCTGTAAGGGAAATCAGGAGTAAAAGATGGCCAATAATTGCAAAACACTGCTGCACACATGAGGAAAAATAACCTACGCACAAAGAACAGAAAGTAACTCTTCAGAAAATGTTGCAGAGTTGGCTATTTTGAAATATATATACCTTGGAAAGCAGTTTTTCACAGTTTAATACCTAAGCCTAATCTTTAATATGTGGGTAAGAACTATGCCTACTTTACTGTCGCATTATAGTATTTGATGGCACTTCACAATTTACGAGTAATCCAGGATTTCTCTTTTATAACTAATTGCAAGTTATAAAAATTGTCAGGATTGCTACTGCAAGGATTACATTTAGCCTCTGATTATTATTTTCTGCATGTGATAACCACAGTGAATTAATGGCAGTTAAATCTTAATTTCTAATGAATCTCAACTGCCAGTGCAGTTCAAGAAATGATGCATACTATTTTGTCTCTTTGTTTAGAGTATGCTTGTGAGTTCATTGTGATACTACAAGAACAAAATCCAATGTAATGTTGACTCTATAGCTAGTCCTATGCAGACATTGCGAAGCGGAGTCTAAAACTTTTACTGCTCTCCACAAAAAAAATATAAATTATTTTTTTCCAACTTGTGCATTTAAGCCAATTTTTACAACTCTGTGTAACTTAAGAGTCAACTATATGAGAGCTGGAATCATATATGTGAATAAAATACGTGAAACAATACCTGAAGTTCAGGAAACCAATTCTGGCACTTACTGTGTTTCTTCAAATAGAAACAAATATTTGCAAGACTCACTAAAACAATTAAGAAAAAAAAAATGTTGCAAATTAAATTAGGATGTATTGCTTTAATGGAAGTCCTGCATGGCACATGGTTTGATCACACCAGGCTCTTTTTGTTTTGACTTTTTCTCTTCTACTTTCAAGCTACTGGAAATTTCTTCTATTTCCAAGTGATTTGGAAATTTCTCCTGCCTAAAGCGACATTGCTTGGAGTACATTAGGCAATTTCAAAAGGATATAACAAAACCTAAAACAGTAATTTGCAATGGGAATCTATTTAAGGTCCTGTAAAGAATTTTTTCATTTCTTTGCAGAAAATTATGAAATCATGTTCACTCTTCCAATGATAAATATTTGCTTTGATAGCATCAAATTTATCTCTTACTGCTGTATTTTCATGCACAAATAATTCTTTATTTCAAGTCAAATGATACTGTAGTTGCTTATAGTATTGTAAATCAATAAAACTCAACATGTTTAGTAACATAACTCAACTGAAATTATATTTAAAGCTATGACCAAGAGAGCACATGGGCAGGCAATGACAAGTACAATATAACTGCTATCTAGACAATGGCAATTTTAAGATAGACACATCCTGGTTTCAGAGAAGTTAAAATGTGAAAGGTGTGCCTCTTAGGACTGATGAAATACGCTAATAAAGTCACAAGGTAAAACTTTAGAAATAATGATGTCTAATTCTTTTATTTTTCATAGTGGGACCATGGGACCCAAAGAATTGAGAAAAACTATCTCATATGGTGGTAGAAACTAGATGAGAAGCTAGATAATTTTAAGGACAATTTATATTCTATTATTTTGTATTTTGATGATCTGCCCCTTTCGAATGATTTATTACTTTTTAATTTTCTTGTGCTCGAAGCTATTATTTGAATGCTAATTTAGCTCTACAGTCTGTCAACCACTGATCATTGTGTTGTGACTAGATGGTTGCTTCTAATCTTTAAGTAAACCTAGTTGACAATACAAAATGTTCTTAATCCATTATGTAATTTCAGTAACTTATTTAATTATTAGTAACTAAAGATAAAATTATCTTTGATTAATCTTAATATAATGCTTTCATCCTAACAAATTAAATATCTTCCTTTTGTTTGCTGCATCATTTCTAGATTTCTCCATCCAATTTTTAAGGCTTACCATAGCGTAGCATCACCTAAATTACCCAATTTTATTTACATCTACTCGAAACTATATTATTCTGATTTTTGCTTTGGTCATTATGACTACTAATAATAAAATGCTTGTAAAATTATTGTTCAGTCTCAGCATTTTAATAACTGTCCATGGAACCTTCTGAAAGCTAGGCAATTTATTGTATTAATTGTCTTTGACTAATAGCACATAATGTACACCATGTCATGTCTGTGCTTTGAGCATTACTCACTTTTTAACACATTTGGCAGAACCAAAACAAAGGAAATCTGGAGTCACCATGTAATTGGCCACAAGCTCTTATGTCAGTATTGACTTCGTCTCCTGGCTTTAATGGTCTTAAGTTGGTCTTTAGTGGTGTGCAGTAGATATTGTTACACATCACTTGCCTGTGAAGGCATTCTCAAGCAAAGTATCGCCTTCTCCATTTTTTTCCTCATGATGATATATCTCTGATAGTAATAAAGCTTCTTCCTGAAACAGACAACTAAATTTAAAAACCATTAAGCTAGGCATCACTGAATACATTAAAATTAAAATTATTACTGTATAACAGATGGCTGATACTGACTTCTGGTTATTATGCCCCTCATACACCTACTCTTCCAAAAAAGAAAAAAGTGTTTAAAAATACTTAAGGATTACGTTAATATATAAACAAGAAACTTCAAAGTAGAAATAGATTTATCAGTACCTGGACATATTTGTCATCAGTCAGAAAGTATTATGGATCAGTAGAAGCATGTCTAGCTATGGATCAAAAGACTAAGGAGCAATTGTATGTTGTTCAAGTTGATTTGTGATAGGTGGTAATTTCCTTTCACCTTTTCTCTGCCTTTCTAACTCAACAGACTAAAGTCCTAAGGACAATCTATAACCTGGAAGCCATTATTCTTTTGTCATAAAGACTAGTCAACAAGACATATGATATAAGCTGTTCAGCATATTTCCATTTTAAATTAAATGGCACCATCTTACGCAATTATAGTCTTATAGTGTCACAGAGCTCATCTTTACTTTAGAGACTGGATGTCTTATAAAGATGCAAATGCATTCTTCTCATCTACGTTAATGTCAATAAATAGAAATTTTTAAAGGTAAAAATCTGTTTCAGTCTAGAGTTGGGAATCTGGAGAAAAAAATATTTCAGTTGATATTTTTCAATATAAAATATCTAATTTTCTATCCACTTTAAAGGAAATAAGCATTGATAAATGTTACTAACATTTAATGAATAATTAATAGCACTGCCTTTTCCATAATAATTTATTGCAAGGGGAGACGGAGCAAAATGCAGAATAGAAAGCTCCAATGATCATTCCCCCTCCCCACACAAGGACACCAAGTTAACAACAATCTACACAGGAAAAACAGCTTCAGAGGAACCAAAAATCAGGTAAGCACTCATTGTACCTTCTTGTAACTTCATATTGCTGAGAGAGACGCTGAAGCTATAGAAAAAAGTCCTGAATCTTTAACACTAACCCTTCCCCATCCTGGCAGCTGTGGCATGGTGCTGAGAGCATCTTGGACCTGGGGAAGGGTGAACACGGCAATTGTGAGGCATTAAACTCAGTGCTGTTCTGTTAGAGCAGAAAGGAAAACCAGACCAAACTCAGCTGAAGCCTGCCTACAAAGGGAACATTTAAGCCAGCGCTAGCCGGAGGAGAATTGCCAGTCCCAAGTATCCCAACATGAGTGCCCAAAAACTTTGCCACCAAGGGCCAAAGTGCTCTGTGTTTCTATGCAAACTCGAAAGGCATTCTAGACCATTATGACTGCAACTCTTAGGAGAGTCCTAGGGCTGAACTAGGCCCAAAAACAGTGGACTCGGAGGCACAGGACATACTTAGACACCAGCTGAGGTAGCCAAGGAAATGCTAGCATCACCCCTCCCCTAACCCCAGGCTGAAAAGCTACAGGCTCCAAAAGAGACCTCTTCCTTCCACTTAAGAAGAGGAGAAGGAAGTGTGGGGGCTATGTATTGCATCTTGGATACTAGCTAGGCCACAGCAGGATAGGGCACTGGTCAGAGTTATGAGGCTCCCATACTGAGCCCTAGCTCCCAGATGACATTTCTAGACATACCCTGCCTTGAAGGAAAGGACCCAGTCCTGCCAGAATTCATCATCAGCTAAATGAAGTGCTCTCAGGCCCTGAATAACCAGCAATGATACTCAGGTACTAAATTGAGGGCTTTGGAGAGCCTCTGAAACTTGCTGGCATCAGGTACCAATATTGCCACAAGGGTTAGAGCAACAATCAGGCTCTTGGGATCCCCGATTCCAAGACTTGACTCTTGGATAGCATTTCTGGACATGCTCTGGGCCAGAGAAAAGCCCACTACCCTGAAGGGTGAATCGCAGGCCAGGCAACATTCACCACAAGCTGACTTAAGAGACTTTAAGCCTTAAGGGTAATTGGTAGTAGTCTGGCATTACTCCTCCTGGCCAGGGGTGGCAGTGGGGATGGCATGAGGTGCCTCTGTCCTTGGAAAGGGAAGGAAACAGTGGGAAGGAAAGTGTCTTGTGATTTGAGTGCCAGTTCGGCCACAATAAAATAGAATACCGAGTAGACTTCTAAGTTTTTTGGCTCTTGTCCCTGATGCTCAGATGGCACTTCTGGACCCACCCGAGGCTAGGGGTAACTTGCCGCCCTGAAGTGAAGAACACAGGTCTGGCTGGCTTTGCCATCTGATGATTATAGAGCCCCAGGATCTTGAGAGACCATAGGCAGTAGCCAGGGAGTAGTTATAGAAGGCCTTGGGCAAGACCCAGTGCTGTGCTGGCTCCAGGTCTGACCCAGCACAATCATAGTGGTGGTCACCACAGGGGTACTTGGGTCAATCCACACCCAGATTTAGGTGGCTCGGAACAGGGGGAGATACTGTATGTTTGGGAGAAAGTAAGGGACGAGAACAAGGGTTTCTGCCTGGTAATCCAGAGAATTCTCCAAGATCTTGTTCAAAACCATCAGGGCGGTACCTCTACAAGTCTGCAAGAACCACAGCATTATTGAGCTTGGGATGACTCCTAAAGTAAAAACATCTTAGATCACAACACCTAAGTCCTTTCAAATATCTGAAAAGCCTTCCCAAGAAGGATGGCTGCAAATAAGTTGAGACAGTGAAGACTACAAAGACTACAATAAATATCTAGCTCTTTGATGCCCAGACACCGAAGAACATCTACTAGCATCAACAACATCGACAAAAATATGACCTCACCAAATGAACTAAATAAGTCACAAGGGACCATTCCTGAAGAAACAGAGATGTGTGACCTTTCAGACAAAGAATTTAAAATATTAATAGCTGTGCTGAGGAAATGCACAAAAATTCAAGATAACCCAAAGAAGGAATTCAGAACTCTATCAGATAAATTTAACAAAGACATTGAAATAATTATAAACAATCAAACAGAAATTCTGGAGCTTGAAAATGCAATTGACATACTGAAGAATGTATCAGAGTCCCTTATAACAGAATGGAGCAAGCAGAAGAAAGAACAACTACAGAAAATAGAAAATAGCTTCAAATGGGCAAATCTAAGAGTTATTAGCCTTAAAGAGGAGGTAGAGAAAGAGTTAGGGGTAGAAAGTTTATTGAAATGGATAATGACAGAGAACTTCCTAAACTTCCTAAACCTAGAGAAAGGTATGAATTTTCAAGTATAAAAAGGTTATAGTACACCTAGCAGATTTAACTCAAAGTAGACTACCTCAAGGCATTTAATAATCAAACTCCCAAAGGTCAAGAATAAAGCAAGTTTCCTGAAAACAGCAAGAGAACAGAATCAAATAAAATACAATGGAGCTCCAATAGGTCTAGCAGCAGACTTTTCAGTGGAAACCTTACAGACCAGGAGAGAGTAGCATGGCATATTTAAAATGCTGAATGAAAAAAAAACACAACCCTCCCCCCCAAAAAAAACCTGTTACCATAGAAAAGTATTATCTGGAAAAAATTATCCTTCAAACATGAAGGAGAAAAAAACACTTTCCCAAACAAGCAAAAGCTGAGGGATTCCATCAATGCCAGATCCATTCTACAGGACGTTCTAAAGGGAGTACTTCAATCAGAAAGAAAAGGATATTAATGAGCAATAAATAATCACCTGAAGGTACAAAACTCACTGGTAATAGTCAGTACACAGAAAAACAGAATATTGTAACACCGTAATTATGCTATGTAAACTACTCTTATCCTAAGTAGAAAGACTAAACAGTGAACCAAACAAAAATAATAGATACAACAGCTTTTCAAGGCATAGCCAATACCACAAGATATAAATAGAAACAACAAAAAGTTAAAAAGCAGGGAGATTAAGTTAAGGTATAGAGCTTTTATTTGTTTTTGTTTTGTTTTGTTTGTTTGCTTGTTTATACAAATAGTGTTAAATTGTTATCAGGGTAAAATAATGGGATATAAAATAGTATTTGCAAGCCTCATGGTAACTTCAAACCAAAAAATACACAATGGCTACACAGAAAATAAAAAGCAAGGAACTAAATAATATTACCAGAGAAAATGATCTTCACTAGAGGAAGAAAGGAAGGAAATAAAAAAGAGACGACCAGAACATAAATAACGAAATGGCAGGAGTAAGTCTTTACTTTTCAATAATAACATAGAATGTAAAGGGACTAAACTCTCCAATCAAAAGACATAGACTGGCTGAATGGATATAAAAAACAAGACCCATTGATATCTTGCCAACAAGAAATGCACTTCACCTATAAAGATACACATAGACTGAAAATAGAGGGATAGAAAGAGATATACTATGCCAAAAAAAAAAAACAAAAAAGAGCAGGAGTCACTATACTTACATCAGAGAAAATAGATTTCAAGATAAAAACTATTAAAAGAGTAAAAGGAGGTCACTATATAATGATAAAGAGGCCAATTCAACCAGAAAATATAACAATTTCAAATATATGTGAACCTAACACTGGAGCACCCAGATATATAAAGAAAATATTATTAGAGGTAAAGAGAGATAGTCCCCAATACAAGGACAGCCAGAGACTTAAACACCCCACTTACAGGATTGGATAGATCTTCCAGACAGAGAATCAACAAAGAAACATCAGACATAATCTGAAGTATAGACGAAATGGATCTCATAGATATTTACAGAACATTTCACCCAAAAGCTACAAAATACACATTGTTTTTTTGAGTATATGGATCATTCTCAAAGACAGATCATATGTTAGGTCACAAAACAAGTCCTAACACATTCAAAAAACTGAAATCATATGAAGCATCTTCCCTGACCACAAACGAATAAAACTAGAAATTAATTACAAGAGGAATTTTGGAAACTATACAAATACATGGAAATTAAATGACATGCCCCTCAATGACCAGTGGGTCAATGAAGAAGTTAAGATGGAAATTGAAAAATTTCTTCCAACAAATGAGAATGAAAACACAACATATCCAAACCTATGGAAAACAGTGAAAGCAATACTAAGCGGGAAGTTTATAGCTATTAAGTGCCTATATCAAAAAAGATGAAAAACTTCAAATAAACAACCTAATGATGCATTTTTCTAGAACTAGAAAAGCAAGAGCAAACCGAACCCAATATTAGTAGAAGAAAAGAAATAATAAAAATCAGACCAGAAATAAATGAAATTAAAACGAAAATACAAAATACAAAACATCAATAAAACAAGATTAGGTTTTTTAAAAAGTTAAACAAAATTGACAAACCATTAGCCAGACTAAGAAAAAAAGAGGGGAGATCCAAATAAATAAAACACATTAACCATCCTTACTTCTCCCCTAGAACACTTCTTGGCTTCTAGGATAGCCATTGTTCTACTCTCTCTCTCCATTTGTTCAATTGTTTTAACTTTCAGATCCTGCAAATAAGTGAGAACATGTGAAGTTTGTCTTTCTATGCCTGGCTTATTTCACTTAACATAATGATCTCCAGTTTCATCCACATGGTTGCAAATGACAGAATCTCATTTTTTATGGCTGAATAGTACTCCACTGTGTATATGTACCATGTTTATTTATCCATTCATCTGTGGATGGACACTTAGGTTGCTTCCAAATCTTGGCTATTGTGAATAGTGCTGCAATAAACACGGGAGTGCAGATATCTCTTCAATATGCTAATTTCTTTTATTTAGGGTATTCACCTAGCAGTGGGATTTATGGATTATACGGTAGCTCAATTTTTACTTTTTTTGAGGAACCTCCAAATTGTTCTCCAAAGTGGTTGTACTAATTTACATTCCCACCAACGGTGTACAATGGTTCCCTTTTCTCCACATCTTTGTCAGCATTTGTTATTGCCTGTCTTTTGGAATAAAAGCCATTTTAATTGGGGTGAGATGATATCTTACTGTAGTTTAGATTTGCATTGCTCTAATGATCAGTGATATTGAGCACCTTTTCATATTCCTTTTGGCTATTTGCAAGTTTTCTTTGAGAAATGTCTATTCAGATCCTTGTCAGAGGAATAGTTTGAAAATATTTTCTCCCATTCTGTGGGTTGTGTCTTCACTTTTTTGATTGTTTCCTTTGCTGTACAGAAGCTTTTTAACTTGATGTCATCCCATTTGTCCATTTTTGTTTGGTTGCCTGTGCTTGCTGGGTATTACTAAAGAAATATTTGCTCAGTCAAATGTCCCAGTGAGTTTCCCCAATGTTTTTTTTAGTAGTTCATAGTTGAAGGTCTTAGATTTAAGTCTTCAGTAAATTTTTATTTCATTTTCGTGTATGGTGAAAGATAGAGGCCCGGTTTCATTCTTCTGCATATGAGTATCAAGTTTTCCCAGCTCCATTTATTGAACAGACTATCCTTTCCCCAGTGTGTGTTTTTGGCTCCTTTGCCAAAAATGACTTTATTGTAGTTATATGGGTTTTGTTCTGGAATCTCTATTCTGTTCCACTGTGCTATGTGTCTGGTTTTATGCCTGTACCATGCTGTTTTGGTTACTACAGCTCTGTAGCATAATTTGAAGTCAGGTAATGTGATTCCTCCAGTTTTGTTCTTGTTGCTTACATCAGCTTTAGCTATTCTGGGTCTTTTGTGGTTCCATATAAATTTTAGAATTTTTTTTCTAATTATTTGAAGAGTGTCTTTGGTATTTTGATAGGGACTGCATTGAATCTGTAGATTGCTTTAGGTAGTATGAATTTTTTAACAATATTGATTCTCCTAATCCATGAACATGGAATGTCTTCTAATTTTTGTGTCTTCTTCAATTTCTTCCATTATTGTTTTACAGTTTTTACTGTAAATATCTTTCACTTCTTTGGTTAATTTCTAGGTATTTTATTTCATTAGTAGCTATCATAAATGGGATTACTTTCTTGATTATTTTTCAGATTGTTCACTCTTCGTATATAGAAATGCAACTGATTTTTGTTGTTGATTTTGTATCCTGCAACTTTATTTGTTAATCAGTTCTAATAGTTTTTTGGTGCAGTCTTTAGATTTTTTCTAAGGTTATATCATCTGCAATAAAAATAATTTGACTAATTTCTTTCCATTTTGGATGCCCTTTATTTCTTTCTCTTAACTGATGGCTCTAGATAGTACGTCCACTACTACGTTGGATAACAGTGGCAGAAATGGGCATCCTTGTCATGTTCCAGATCTTACAGGCAAGGCTTTCATTTTATCCACATTCAGTATGATACTAGCTGTGGGTCTCTCATATTTGGCTTTTACTGAGTTGAGGTATGTTCCTTCTACACCCAGTTTTTTGAGGGTTTTATCATGCAGGGATGTTGAATTTTACTAAATGCTTTTTCAGCATCAATTGAAATTATCACATGGTTTTTATACTTCATATTATCACCAGTAGCTCAGAATGTGACTGCATTTAGAGATAGAAACTTAAAGAAGAAATTACATTAAATTGGGTCATTAGGGTGGCCAATAATCCAATACGTTGTGTTCTTATAAGAAGAAGAAAGGTATGACCATGTGAGAACACCGAAGAATGCAACAATCTGCAATGCAAGGAGAGAGCCCTCGGGAGAAAGCAGACTAGATAATACCTTGATCTTGAGCTTCTGCTCTCCGTAACTGTGAGAAAATAAATTCCTGTCGTTAAAGCCATTCAGTCTGTGGTTTTTTGTTATGGCATCCTTAACAAACTAATATATAGAGATAGTATAATTTCCATATTGAATAACCAGCTGTATAGAATGTAATGGAAATATGTGACAAAACAGAGCTCATGAAACGGTATCACATATTGCATGGATTTTCACTGAATTCTGGCTTCCTCCATGATTTGCAACTTCCTGAGACACTCTCATGCAAGTAAATTCCCATCAGAGTTGAAAGAACATTCATATTCCTGCACTTTTGTACTTAGGCTTTTATAATACTGCTCTTTTATAACAAGGTTTATATCATTCTCCTAGAATTCTTAACATAGCAATCAATATGTTCTGTTCAAAAGAGGTTTAAGAATACTAGACATTTTTGGTTCCTGAAAAGAACTGAACAAGAGAAAGCTCACATTATTATACCCAGAAAGAGAGAGTAAGGTTTTCCTAAACAATTCTAAAAATTACCTATGCTTCATCATTCCAGATTTCTGAAAAGCCAATTACCCTATAGTCTAACTCCAAGGACTATTATAATAAATTAATCTCTCAAGCAGATAGTCCTACTTTAACAATGTGACTCTTAGTAAATGCGAGGAAAGAGTTGAAATTTGTCAAGATTTGGGGAGGGTTAGGCAAATTCAGGGCCTTGCATCTACACAGACTCCAGAGAATTATGACAGAAATCCCCAGATCAGAAAAGGTGACAGCAGCATAACCTAATAGCGTTTGAAAGAGTCCAAACCAAAAGCTTCTGCCTTCCTTCTCTTAATTTAGGGTTCTTCTAGCAGATATGAACATCAGGACATAAACACAGCTGTGCCAGAATTACAGATTTATTTATTGCTTTAAAGGTCATGTTAATTTCTGCAGTGATCTTTCATTCTACTGGTTTGCTGGTTATACTTTGATTGCCCCACTAGATCCATTTTCACCTCTTTCCTATCTGGTTCTATGCCTGAGGAGGCCAACCTCTACAGACCATATATCCTAGACTCTTTTGCTCTCTAGTTTCCAACTGTGTTTGGCCAGTGAGATGAGAAAATAGGAGGCAGTCAGTCCCCCACCCTTCACTTCTTTCCTGATGGCCAAAGCCCTGATCAAGATACATGAACCTTCTGCTATGCCAGCTATGCTTCCTGCCATGATGGATTGTGGGGAAATATAGGAATTTTCAGGTTACAAGGTATCAGCCAGGCTGTTGTTACAAGGCAGATGAGGGATTCCCCCTGGAAGTTCATGGAAGCAGCAAATTACCAAGTAGTACAGAAGTACTTCCAAATGTTAACAATCATTTTAGCTGAATTGGTTCTTACTGGCTGAACATTAGTCCTAGCTCTGCTCTAATCCATAGCCCCATCTGTAAGAGTGAGTGTTCCTGCTGGACTATTCTGTGGTCTAAATGATGCACACTAACCTCACAAACTTCTAACTTTTTTTTTAAAGAAAAATAGAAAAAAACTATTTTTCTGTTATTTCAATTAACAGCATAACTACTTTGAGCCTCAACTTCCTCTACGGAAAAAGTGTAGATGGTACATACCTCATAGCATAACTGAAAGTAAAAACCTCAGCATGTATATAACATACCCAGTACTGTGAAGAAAACCTAGTTTAAGAATTATACTGGACCAATCAAGCTATTATAAATGAGACAAAGTGGCATATATGCATATACATACATATGCATCTAGGTGATATATGTATGTATATATCAGTACTTTGAATTTGTAGTCAATATAGCAAACATATTCTTGTCATGACAATACAGACATGATCACTTTTCAAAACAATCTGAAATATTTTCATTTTATTCTGTTTGAATCTTCTTTCCTCATAGAATATCAGGCCCTCTTTTTTACAATATAAAATCTTCCCAGTAGTAATTTCAACCCTAACCTAATCCAACTCTTCCTACTCTCAACAGTTGCACTTTTGCTGTGCTAGTTTTCTGTCACCTAAATCAAAGAAAAAAAAATGCTTTATTTCAGATTTTGAAATGTCTTGAAATAGGCAAGAAAAAATATTTTTACATTGAAAAGAACCATCTGGCCACTTTATCCTGTTCTATATCTAACATCCGACAGTTACTATAATATTTATTTACTGGATTATTTATTCATGAAAGTAATATTACAAATATAAATTGCCCTGAGTAGTCAGCAACTGCTTTTAACTGCTTGTTTTCTTATTTTAACTAAGAAAAGTTGTCTTTAAGAGCTAGAATTAAGAAATGTGCATGAAAATTGGAGCATCAGTTAAGAACTGTAGGTTCAAACCTCAATTTTGCCACTAATTAATTTTGTCATCACCAACAATTCACTGTTTTCTCACAAGTTAACCGAAGAACTGGGACAGGTGAGACATAAGGAACTTTTTATATTCAACTTTAATTATTCTATCTTGGGATTTCTAAGGTATTTATGGGATAAAATAACACTAATATATAGTTAGCAATTGTATCCCAGGCCATGTGCATTTACTAATCACAGCAATTCTACTTTTCAGATAAAAACACAAAACTAGTGAGGTTATGTCTCTTATCCAAGATCTTATAAGTAGTTTGTGGAAGACTCAGAGTTTAAAATGGTCATTTTGAATTCAAATCCTATAATTGAGTGAATATTACCTTATTTTTATTTTTCAAAATAAGCTAGAAGCTTAAATGGTTAAATAAAGGAATGTTTTACAAGCAATCAATAAGCCAGTAAATAAACAAGCAACAATTTTAGTAAATTTGAAAAACCAATAGGTATTCAAAATGTGCCAGTTAAGAAATGTGGAGATGTGCCTTTATAGCAGCATATCTCCACATTTCTTAACTGGCACATTTTGAATACCCTAGAACTTAAAGTATAATAAAATATATATCCACTTTATATATATATATATCTTATATATATATAAAAGAAATGTGGAGATATTTTTAATTGATTTATAAATAAACTATAAATATAACTCTGTATTTCTAAACAACAAAACAATAGGACCTACAAGAAATAATATCCTATTTCTGCCTTGATGGAGCCAGTGATTGTTTTATTCTAAGAAAATCCCCAGAGCCTAGCACTTGCTGCCTCTTTCTCTGCTGTGCTTCTCATGCAGGTGTTTTCTTTGTTGGGTACTTGTTAGACTCAATTGATAGTTGGCTCATAATGTGAAACTCTTTCTACATGTTTACCTTTATAGTCAGTAAATTGTTTTCTAGATATATTACAATGGTTTCCTAAGACTTAGATAAAATCAGTGCCTCTGAAATTCCTAGTAAGTTTCATGAAGATTCACAAACTAGAAACATTTTTAATTATTTTATACATAGGGAAGCCTACAGATATAAAATAATCCTAAATAAATACTTACAAATTTAAATATATATTTTAAATTAACTGTGAAACAAAATAAACCATAGCAATCTCTGTGGCATTATTTTGAGGAATAAAAAGAATGGCATCTACAAACATATTTTTTAATATGAGATGATATTGCTCTTGGTTAGTTATAATTCTAATTTAAAAAGTATTTAAAGAAATACCTTTCTAAGCTAGTGATGACATTTCCCTTCATACTAACCAATGCTAATCTCTCTAGAGTGCTGCATAAAGTAATCTTCTAGGGATACATATCTTCAACTTTTACTTCTATATATTGATGCAAAAGCTTCAGTAAATAGAAATGTCAGTAACTAGAACAAGTAAATAGAAATGATGCTTCATTTCTATTTCGATACAGTCTTTTAGATCTTCTGACTCATTGATATCAAAGCTCAGTGTACTTCTTTTCCCGGATATAACAACCAAAAAAAAAAATCACAATTAAACAACCAAGATAAAACAGTGCAGCCATCACAGTGGTCTCAAGTTCCCTGACAATTGGGTGCTTCAAAATCATTATAACTACTGTTTGTAGAAGACATTATATTATGTGAAAAAAAGCTAACAATTCCACAGAAAAACTGTTAAAACTAATAACTGAATTCAGCAGTCTCAGGATGCAAAATCAACACAACAAAAAATAGTTGTATTTCCATACATTAACATTAAACAATACAAAAAGGAAATCAAGGAAACAATTGCATTTACAATACCATCAAAAATAATAAATTACTTAGGAATAAACCTATCCAAAGTTTAGGTACACTGAAAACTACAAAAGACGTGTACACTGAAAACTACAAAACATTGCTAAAAGAAATAAAACAAGACACAAATAAATGGAAACACTAGGTAGACTAATAAAAAAGAAAAGAGAGAAGAGTAAAATAGACACAATAAAAAATGAGAAAGGGGTTATCTCCACCAACCCAACAGCAATATGAACAACCATCAGAGAATACTATAAACACTTCTACGCAAATAAACTAGAAAATCTAAAAGAAATGGATAAATTCCTGGACACGTACACCTTCCCAGACTGAACCAGGAAGAAGTTGAATCCCTGAATAAACCAATAATAAGTTGTGAAACTGAGGCGGTAGTAAAGAGCCTACCAACCAAAAAAAAAAAAAAAAAAAAAAGCCCAGGGCCAGATGGATTTACAGCTGAATTCCACCAGAGGTACAAAGAGGAGCTGGTACCATTTCTTCTGAAACTATTCCAAACAATTGAAAAGTGAGGACTCCTCTCTAATTCATTTCATGAGGCCAGCATCATCCTGACACTAAACCTGGCAGAGATACTACAAAAAAAAAAAAAAAGGAAAGTTCAGGCCAATATCCCTGTGAACACCAATGCAAAAACCCTCAATAAAATACTGGGAAACCAAATCTAGCAGCACATCAAAAAGCTTATCCGCCACAATCAACTCGGCTTCATACTGGGGATCCAGGGTTGGTTCAACATACTCAACTCAATACATGTGATTCATCACATAAACAGAACAAAAGACAAAAACCACATGATTGTCTCAATAGATGCAGAAAAGGCCTTTGGTAAAATTCAACATCTCTTCATATTAAAAACTACTGGCCGGGCGTGGTGGCTCATGCCTGTAATCCCAACACTTTGGGAGGCCGAGTGGTAGGGAGTTCCAAACCAGCCTTACCAACATGGAGAAACCCCTTCTCTACTAAAAATACAAAGATTAGCCAGGCATGGTGGCACATGCCTGTAATCCCAGCTACTCGGGAGGCTGAGGCAGGAGAATCGCTTGAACCCAGAAGGCAGAGGTTGTGGTGAGCTGAGATCACGCAATTGCACTCCATCCTGGGCAACAAGAGTGAAACTCCACCTCAAAATAAATAAATAAATAAATAAATAAATAAATAAATAAATAAAATTATCAATAAACTAGGTATTGAAGGAACATACCTTAAAATAATAAGAGCCATATATGACAAACCTAGAGCCAATATCACACTGAATGGGCAAAAGCTGGAAGCATTCTCCTTGAAAACTGGCACAAGACAAGGATTCTCTTTCTCACCACTCCTATTCAACATAGTATTGGAACTTCTGGCCAGGGCCATCAGGCAAGAGAAAGAGAAACAGAGTATTCAAATAGAAAAAGAGTAAGTCAAACCATCTTTGATTTGCAGATGACATGATCCTATATCTAGAAAACCCCATCATCTCAGCCCAAAACCTTCTTAAGCTAATAAGCAACTTCAGCAAAGTCTCAGGATACAAAATCAATGTGCAAAAATCACAAGCATTCCTATACATCAAGAACAGACAAGCAAAGAGACAAATCATGAATAGACCCCCATTTGCAATTGCTACAAAGAAAATAAAATACAAGAAGTGAAGGACCTCTTCAAGGAGAACTACAGACCACTGCTCAAGGAAATCAGAAGGGACACAAACAAATAGAATAACATTCCATGCTCATGGATAGGAAGAATCAATATCATTGAAATGGCCATACTGCCCAAAGTAATTTACAGATT
The DNA here is from genome assembly GCF_000001405.40 of Homo sapiens. Taxonomy (NCBI): domain Eukaryota; kingdom Metazoa; phylum Chordata; class Mammalia; order Primates; family Hominidae; genus Homo; species Homo sapiens. The sequence goes on along the minus strand of NC_000023.11, from coordinate 34,693,902 downwards.
GAATGCTATTCCCATTAAACTACCGTTGACATTCTTCACAGAATTAGAAAAAACTATTTTAAAATACATATGGAAGCAAAAAAGAGCCCGAATAGCCAACACAATCCTAAGCAAAAAGAACAAAGTTGGAGGCATCACACTACCCAACTTCAAACTATACTACAAGGCTACAGTAACCAAAACAGCATTGTACTGGCACAAAAACAAACACATAGACCAATGAAACAGAATAGATAACTCAGAAATAAGACCACACATCTACAGCCATCTGATCTTTGAAAAACCTGACAAAAACAAGCAATGAGGAAAGGATTCCCTATTTAATAAATGGTGTTGGGAAAACTGTTTA